>NC_000001.11:237244727-237396242 GCF_000001405.40 Homo sapiens | reverse complement strand
TTTCTACTCACTCAGGTTGTTATGCTGATTTATTAAGATGGCTTTCTTTCCCCGCCCCTAATTGCTGGCAGATAACAATCCTTCAGGAACTGTCAAAATTATATAAATGGGGGACCTCACAACCAAGGGTGATTCTCTATACAGCCATCCTTAACCAAACTTACATTAAAGTGCAAGAGTTATTTTTTCTCCGTTTCTTTCTTTCACAAATACGAAACAATAGCATTTGTATGCAGATTCCCATATATACCTCACTATGCAAAAGGTATGCAAGAAATGAATGGCACAGCCCTGGCTGAAAACTGAATGGAAGAGATGAATATGCAGACCAACACGTGTGATCAGTGGCACTATGGGATGCGGGAAGTGAAAGTGTGGGGAAGTTAAAGATAGTCCTGGCTGGGCGTGGTGGCTCATGCCTGTAATCCCAGCACTTTGGGACATCGAGGAGGGCGCATCACGAGTTCAGGAGATCAAGACCATCCTGGCTAACACGGTGAAACCCCATCTCTACTAAAAATACAAAAAATTAGCCAGGCGTGGTGGCGGGTGCCTGTAGTCCCAGCTACTTGGGAGGATGAGGCAGGAGAATGGCATGAACCCGGGAGGCAGAGCTTGCAGTGAGCAGAGATCGCGCCACTGCACTCCAGCCTGGGGAACAAAGCGAGACTCTGTCTCAAAAAAAAAAAAAAAAAAAAAAAAAAAAAAAGACAGTCCTACTAGCGGACGTGTCCTCAATCAAGTTTGGTTGTGTTCGTGTATGACTAGACCCTCGTATTTAAAATGCATGTAGGAATCGTCTGAAAAATAGTTACAGTCACCCACAATTACTCACCTGCAATTCCCATTTAGAGTTGATATTGAATAGCAGGTTCAAACTAATTAGAGAAAAGCAAAGCTTTTTTGTTAACTTTTTATAGGCTGACAAAAATATCCTTCAAAATCAAAGGTCAACAAAGACTTGGCTGATCTTTCTCACATGGTTGAATGGTAAAATATGTTTTCTACCATCTAAGTTTTACCAAAATTATAAATGGCTTCTCCCAGATTAACATTCACTTCATCCTGAATATAGTGTTGTTGAGATCTTAAAAGATGGTGATATGGTTTGGATTTGTGTCCCCGCCCAAACCTCACATTGAATCGTAATCCCCAGTGTTGGAGGAGGGGACTGATAGGAGGTGACTGGATCATGGGGGCAGATTTTCCCCTTGCTATCCTTGTGATAGTGAGTTCTCACGAGATCTGGTTGTTAAAACTGTGTAGCACTTCCCCTTTGCTCTCTTGCTCCTCCTCCAGCCACGTAAAACATGCCTCCTTCCCATTCGCCTTCTGCCATGATTGTAAGTTTCCTGAGGCCTCCCCAGCCTATAGAGCCTGCAGAAGTGTGAGCCAGTTAAGACTCTTGTCTTTATAAATTACCCAGTTTCAGGTATTTCTTTATAGCAGTGTGAGAACAGACTAATAGAGACGGTGAGTTCCAGAAAGATAGTGGCAGGGCCTTAGACATGTTTTCATACCCAGCACATGCCAAAGATGTCTGGGCTATACAAGTCCCTCAATAAATATTAAAAGAATTGAGTTGAGGTGATTGAAAAGCAGATCCAGTCTTAAAAGGTTATTTCAGAGTGAAATTATAAGCGTTTCAGTTGACACATTTTCATAGGAGAATTTCTGCTGCTGGTACCTTTGGGAGCATGTGGCTGAGCAGCTGAGCCGCAGGCAGGTGCTAAAGCAGCTGTCAGGAGTCTCTTCCTAGTAACAAATCAAGAAGTACTTGCCTAACCAGCATCCCAAGAAGCATTACTTGTTTATTCAGGAGCTCAGTTTGCCACAATAGCTCTATTCAAGTTGCTGCACAAGGGAAAATAGGTATGTTTTGAGATGACACCTCTGCATAAAATGTAAATGAATCAGCACAGATTTGAAACAACAATAGCTTACACTTTGAATCACCATTGAAAGAATCATGTAGGTAGGACTAGAGCAGAAAAACAACAAAATACATGTTGTTACCATTGCTTTGCAGAACACAATACAACCATAAAGGCATCTGGAAATTTACAAAAGAAGATGCTTCTCTTTCTTTTTTTCTTCTGAAAGATATTGCTTACATATAGATTAAGTTAATAAACCCAGTGTAGACAAGTCATGTTCTTAAATTTTAATTGAGAAAATCATCGAGAGATTTTTTTGTATAATGTTGATTTTAATCTATTGTCTGTTTTTCTATTCATATACTCTAAATGCATCAAATGTCTCATTGTTTTTCATTTTTGCCAAGATCCAACAGCTCAAATTCCTATGAATGTTTTTAATCTTGTGTTAGAAGCCCACGTTTTTGAAGCAGTCATTTTACCCAGTCCTTGCCTTGAGAGTGCGGCTCTAGACCAAGTCAGGCTTCCAGAACACATGACAAACTACAGCAGCTACTGCACTCTCTGCAATCAGCAAGGAGTTTAAGTTTGGGGTAAAAAGCGAATCTCTCCCAAAGGAGAAGAGGCAAAGAGCAGAAAGTAGCTCTCCTTTATGTACTGACTATTCCATCAAGACTGTTTAGCTAACTCATCTAACTCTCAGTTCCAGGCTGAAAAGATATATGCAGGACCTGAAGACAGAGAAAAAGAAGAAAAACCCTCATAGGTTAAACTTTATCCTTGACCATTTTGGAGAACAACAGAATAGCTTTAAGAGCTTCCTCCTAGGTGGTGGCCAAAGGCATACAAATATCCTCACAAGGATATCAGTCATCCAGTTGTGTACACAGATATAAACTATGCATCTCTTTCTAAGCCAGATGGAGAGGCATTTAATTCATTACATCCAATCCATCTCATGCCTTATCAATTATTTACAACTAAAGCTCATTAAATCATCATAATATTAAAAGGGGGCATGGAGGTAAAAATCTTGTCATGCATACACATGGCATAGCTTTTTCCTGCTGAGTCACATTTTGGGAAGCAAATGTAGCATTTATTTCCAGATACTGTCAGAAACTATGACTTAATTGGCCTGCATTTGAAAGTAACAAGACACAGCAAGCATATGCCAAGAGCAATGCCAGATAAGGTGGAAGAAGAACAAGCTTTCTCTCCTTCTCTCCCCACCTCTCCGTCATACCACCCCACAAAACATACCACACACATGAACACTCTCCATCCCCTTCCATGCATTATTTTTCTCCTTAGCTCTTATCATCACCTAATGCATTTCATCTCTGTATATGTGGGTAAGTGTATACATTTAGAAATAAACGTATTTATTGCCGCATATGCCCACTAGAATGTAAACTTCTTGAGAAAATAAACTTTGTAACTTTGTGTATACTACTATAGCCCCAGCACCCAGAAAATCATAGTCATTCTACACATTCTTATTGAATCAATAAAAAGTTTCGACATTGCAAACCTGTTTTTAACATAAATAATGCTTTTCAAACAATGTTTCCTTAATAGATTTCCAAACTAAAGGCCCCAAATAATCTTCCCCAATGCATCCATTTTAAAATGTATCAATATAAAAGTATGCACAGTTTATTCACATAGTGCATATCAAATCCATAAATAAGTCTATGTGCACATAAAGGAAATGCCTTTGTTGATATTTTATTATATTCACATAAAATTTTGGATGGAAATAATGAGATGCAATCTAGAAACAAAATCTAGAACAGAAAATACTCTCCACATAAAATATGTCAGGCTTGAAATAAAATTTAGTAGTCAAATGTCAAGCCTCCAGAATGAAAGCCTATTTAAGTTTTTATTTTTAATGTTTGTGGGTATGTAGTAGGTATATATATTTATGGGGTACATGAGATGCCTTGATTCAGGCATACTATGCATAATAATCACTTCAGGGTAAATGAGGGATCCATCACTTCAGGCACTGATCCTTTGTGTTACAAACAATCCAGTTACACTCTTTTAGTTATTTTTTAATGTACAATAAATTTATTGTTGGCTATAGTTACCCTGTTGTGCAAAAGCCTATTTTTAAAGCAATAATTAAAACATGATTGACAAGGGATACTGACACATCCCTTCCCAACTACCAGACTTGCTTCTCTTTAACTCATTCTATCTCACTAATTGAAGAGTTTAATAAGAACTAAAAAGTTACGACACTATAGTTAATACTAATGAGCTCTCTCCCTTATACCTGACTGCTCACAACTACTATAGGTTATATTTTTACTATTTTTGTTGTTGTTTAGACAAGTTGTCTACTAGTCATTTTAGAGCGATTTGTCTTTCGGAAAAAAATCTCAAGTAACTTAAAACAATAATGATGCTGTATTTCATGAACACGTCAGGATTCAATCCATAAAAGCAAAATGGGCAGGAAGCATGAGAAAAAGATAAATATTTAGTTTAACTCTGATAGGCATCATCTCCAATTCAGTTGTTCTTAACTGAATAGCTCTATATGCTCTTCATTCTAAGAGCTTTATTAACATTCTTTAGGAGAATGAATAGGTAACCACATACACATACATATCTAAATGTGAAGAGGAAGGTAAAGGTAACTCTACTGATATCCAGAATCATAAAACCCATTATTGAGGTGGATTTTCAATAGCTACAATTACAGTTATGTATATTAAATAACTGTCAATAGAACAAAGCAGGAACAGGTGCACAAATCCATGTAGAAACACAGCATTTATGACCAGACTATTCCTAAATCACTCAGAAGTAAACATCTTTTCTGGCCATCTCCTTAATAGTTTCCACTATGTCTCCTAACAAAGTAAATTGGACTTTAGTTATTTAACGTTAACAACAGCATACAATTAATGAGTATAGCCAGATCATAATTACAGGAAAGAATTATAAGGTAAAAAATTTTTTTTACATATTTCCCAGGACCTTCTCTAGCTTTCATGTCACTGTGCAAAAATCAAATTACTTTTACTTCTTTGTTTAATGAATGAAAAAAGTATATTTTTAGATGATCATTATGCATGTCTCCCCCAGTACAGACTGATAACAAATAAATAAAGGCTGCTTCCGGGGTGAGCTATCCTTTGCCTCCCCCAAGTTCCTTACAATGACCTAGGGAAATAACAGAGGGAGGTTGAAAACTTTCTAAACAATGGTATTAACAAGATTTAGAAATAATGAAGTGCTATATAATTGTGAAATTCAAGGAATTATTTTTATCATTCTATTCAAATAATTGCTCAATCCCAGTATAACCAACACAAATAGTTTTTTCTTAAGCAACATCCCTTCAGCTCCATGCTGCCTACTGCTGACTCATTTTCTCCCTCGAGTCATAATCTGACATCCATTTTAATCTAATTTCACCCATGTAAATATGCTATAAAAAGGGACACAAACAAACGCGTTCTTACCACCATCACTACCTACCAAGAGTCCTGATAGGCTGGTCTAATTACATACTAAGAATAAGTTGAACTGAAATTATCAACATGAAATCAAGAAGACTATTTGGAAAGGAGGGGCAGGCTTCAACATATATGCAAAGGGAGAGTGGGTCCAGAACATGATTAAAATATCTTTGAAATGTCCCCTAGATTTCTCTGCAATCATAACTAGCCATCGAAAGGATCCTCTTGGATCCAGTCTGGCCTCTCTTCCTACAAAGTCTATGCTCTGCCATTCTGTCATCCATATGCCCAGAGTCCCTCAAACTTTTCAATCATATCTGGCTAAATGCTGCCTCTTCAGACTAAATAATAGCAACAGACTAAATAATAACAATAAATGTGTTGATTTCTCAATATGCATCAAGTATTTTACGTGTATTTTCTTATTTAGTCTTTTCAATAGCCCCATAAAGCAGGAGATAATATTTAAGCTGCATTTTACAAAGAGGGGAAACCATTGTTTAAAGAAACTATGTCACCTACATGAGTCACACAACTGGTAAGTGGCAGAGCAGAACCCCAATCCCAGATCTGTCTGGTTCTAGAGTCCATTACCTTAACCACGAAGCTCTACAGTGTCTGTAGATACAGCCGAAAAAGCTCTAAGAAACACTTAGTCTGTCTTCCATTTAACAAATCAGGGACTGAGGATCCAAAGACTCTGGCATGGTCTCTTATAAGCTCTAACTCCAAATAAACACACCATAGCATTTAACATATCCACAACCCAATCCTTTGACTTCAATGACTAACTTCCCTGGTTCCCTACTAAACTATCACTCTGACTCTCTTGCTGACTCTTATTTCTCTGCCCACATCCTAAACATCAGCATTCTGTAGGAATCCATCCTCAGCCCCCTGCCTGATTAGGCTATTCCAGGTCTTTACAGCCTTCATAAGGCCATGCCCAATCGACAAACACATCTAATCCCAGCTCTTCCCTCTCCATCTGATGAACATATGATAGACCCCATTCCTTTAAATATCCCCCTTACACTTAGAATTTGCACCCATCCCAAGTTTTGTTAAGTTAAAGACTCAGACATCCCAATTTCCTACTGGACGTCTCATAGACTGTACTCATCTGTAACCAAAGTTTAACTCCATCTTTCATAGCAAACATGTACCATCTCCTGCAATCCTTAGCTCCAGCTGTCTTCCCCTGAGGCAGAAAAAAAGATGGCGCTGGATTAGATACCTTCTCTCACAGCCTGTGTCTAGTTCTCCCCTAAACCCATCACTTTTATCTAAATGTCTATGATGCAAGTAAACCTCTCCATTCTGATGGCATTATCTGGGCTAAGTTCTTGGATTTTGTCACACGAATTACTGCATTTCATTTCCGTGACTCAGATTCTCCCCACCTCTAATCTAAGTTCTCCTTGCCTAACAGAGTTATTATTTTAAAAGAGAACTAACTATTCCACTCTGATCCCCACATCCCTTCCTAACAACCTCAGAATAGAAGCCAGCCCACGGGAATGGCACTAAGGATCTTTCTCTTGTCTACTTTCCACCTTTTCCTCCATTTTCCCCCTAATCACTCTGGAATAATTGCTATTCCCAGAATATGCTTGACATCTCTCTAGTTCTTAAGTTTATATTTCTGTTTGAAACTAATTCCTTATCCAAGTGTCTTAAAATCTCCATTATCTTTTATACAAACCCTACTGACACCATCGACATCTTCTTCCTAAACCTACTGAAAGAGGCAGTTTTAGCTTACGGAATGTTTCCAGGGGACTTATGTCACTCTTGACCATTATCTAGGTCTGCCTGGGAACAGAGGTTAAGACCCAGTACCCAGGTCTCAGAGGGACTTTTCCTGAGATTATGCAGCTGGTTAAATGACTCTTAATTTTCTAAATGGTCCCTATGTATTTTTATTAAATTATAAAAATAAATAATTATTAACTAATAGTTACCTAAGTGTCCATGTTAATATGAAAAATGTCCACTAAAAGATTTAAAGATACATAACAAACCATCCACACAGTACCTTCTCTCACTGCAATCTCTTATTTACATATTCATCTTACTACATTCATTGATTAATTTGTAAGGTAGAGCAGTAGCAAACTATTCTAAATATTTTTATGGTTTTGTAATATTTGTGCACTTTTCTCAGTAGATTCATACTATTGTAATCTTGTCCCAGTGCCAAATAAATTAACATGAGAGAGGTATTATATCAGATTAAATATGAGAGAAAGTGATCAATTCTATCATCTGTATCAATAAATGAGAGGTCATAGCAAAGGGTCCTAAAATTGTACGCAATTTGAGAACTCTGACTTCAAAACTGAGTTTGAGATTAAACATTCTAAAAAGAAAATTAATCAAAACTAATGAGCATTTAATGAAGTTCTAAGTAGTTTAATGCAATGTGGTCACTCTTCTCACTTCGTTAATTTTGTTCAGTGTTTCTTAATATGTTTTAATTATACAAAAATTTTCAGTTCTTCTGTTGGTAGGTAATAGAAATATAACATGAGAAAAAGCTAAGAGGGGGCAACAAATGGATCACTTCAGTGAATCAATGAATGTCAGTAGCCCATCTTGTATGATGCTACTGGCCTGAATGAATAGATCCCTAGTTTTTAAAACATTACATCAAGGCAAAAGAGTGCAAGTCTCAATGCAATGAGCTCAGGTACTAACCTCCGCTGCTCTTCACCATGTTCTCCTGAAGGGACAGTGAGACACTCGTCCATGTGTCCATGCAGCAACCTGAGGACATCACCACCAATGAGATACCCTGTAAGGATAAAAAATCATTCAGGTCTGGACTGTCAGTGTCAGGTGCTGATAGCCAGACAGATCATCTGGTCCAATCTTCTACTTTCGTAAAGAAACTGAAGTCTAGTGAGTCTTAAGGACCTGGCCAAGGTCACAGAGATAGACAGTGCCTGCTGTTCCCTCTGAGTCCTGGGTGCCCGAGTCCCACAGTTAGGGATATTCCCACTAAAAGCATGACCTCAGACACATAAAATCCTCTGTTAAACATACAAACACATTTAGAATCAAATGTGAACCTATGTAAGTTGGAATAACCAGAACATATACAGATATTTCCCTAGGAAACCCTGCTCCTTTGTAAAATTCGTATTCCAGCTATAAGGCATGACCTCAGAAAATAAGAAATCTTGACATTAGTCCAACCAGGCAATACTCTGAGGTCAAAAAATTGAAGAAAACAATCCATAGGAAGCTATCACATAAAGCATACACAAATAAACTAAAGCTGACAGTAGCATAAAAATAAGGGAAGATTAATCTTCACCCAAGCTTCACTGTTAAAATAGCAGTTTAAACAAGATCCTCAAATGTCAGGTATCTGCATTACAGAATATTTAGACACAGACAAAAAGCTCTAATTAACAATCAGCTCATTATCACAATTCCAAAGATGACTGTCAACTTTGCAGCAAGGACAGGCCCTCTAATTGAAGTGGAGTTTTTACCTTGGGCTGCCTCACTTCCTGAGCTGATTGGGGCCACGCTCCAGAGAGTCTGCTGGAAAGCGGCATCCACGTGTAAGCTGCCGTTGCCATAAGACAAGTGCTGTATCAAGAGGCAAAAGGAGGCATCACTTCAGGCTCTGGTAAGCTGTAACATGTAAGTGCTTCTAGGAATGCAAACTTAACGTTGCTGATTTGGTTATGTTCATAGAGAACATCTGTTTCAACCTGTCATTCAAGAATCAAAAAACTAGTCAGAAGAAAAGAAGTTCCTCTCTGAATTTACGGATTTTTAAACTTCATTCTAACAGTTACTGACTTAAGTCAATAATCAAAATATGCATAAATGAATACACTAAATAAGTTTATTTGTAACAAGATACTATTTTTGTTTTAACGATGGTTGATGAACAAAATGAGCACTTAAAATTATAATTAGGTTTTCTACATATCACACTCTGACAGCTTTTTGATGATGAAGTAAGTGAAATCTATTGGACCAAGTTTATGGAGTCTTCATTTTATGAAGTCCTTAGGCGTCTTATGGGGTCTTTTATGGAGTCCTTCAGGAACTGTTATCTGCAATTTGATGCAAAAGCCATTAGATGGCGATATTTCCTAACAGCTATCTAAAACCAAGCTACATTTCTTCCGAAATTCAGATACTAGCACATTTCAGATTTTCCTTCCTAAAAATAGAAACACATTAAAATAAAACATACTTAATATCTTTTAGAGCCATAAGACTGAATTATCAAATGTTAACTAAGAAAAACAAAATTACTTGCTTATTTTACTCATCATAACTTGGCTGCCTCTAGAATTTCAAACATACATAGAGCAACCACCTGTTTTCGTGGAGTCTTCTCAGTAAACATCGCCAATATCCCTGCAATGTTTCTGCAATGCTTTGCCAATGCTGATGACAGCCTAAGTTTTCACAGACTTTAATCAGACCAGAAATTTCCCAGAAATCTTGACCATCTTATTTAGATGATCAGTCACGCCTAAAGTAGTCACCTTAGGTGTACTCCACAGGCCTTTTAAACATCCTACGGGTCTCTTTAACATAAAGATACTATTCTCAAGTCACCATCAAGAAGAGGTCGTTCACTCTCTTTCTCTTAAAAATAAAACCAAAGAAACTTTAAACATTGTGATATGTACACAGTGTTTATCAGTCATTTTTCCAATGAATAAGATTGAAAGTTTACCAGTTGATACATAAGACTTGGCAATAATTTGCTCTTATTCCTCTCCTCAACCTCAACTAGCTGCCTGCTTTTGTACAATTTCTTCTTTACTTCAATCTGTCATTCTTACAGTCTTAGCTGTAATCCCAGCTAAGATTCCTTTATTGACTCAATTTCTTCTCCAGTATGTTAAAACTGTTTAATTGTTTACAAATAAATCATATCCCATCTGCTTTAACAAACAAGCAGAATATATTTCCCTTCAAAGCAATTATCACACAGTGAAATTCTTGGGCTTATTTTCTTTTTCCCTTTTAGAAGCTACCTGACACAGGTTCACAGCTGTGTTCCTAGCATCTGGCAATGTTATCCAGTAAACACGTATGTGGAGAAGCTAACAAAAATCATAAAATCAAAGTATCATAAACATAAAAACACACATTTTAAGCTGTTCCATAAATACTCGTATTTCAATAACCTAGTGTAAAAAAAAGCACGTGCACAGGCACACACACATACAAATCCATGTGAATGACACCGATTTTAACCAAACTCTGAAAATAATTCAAAATACCCGTGCTCATATCTGTGTCCAAGTGAAAGCTCATGTAATATTATGATAAGTAGATTACCATCATTTGTTAATTCATCATGGGTTCACTGAATGTACTATGTATATTAATAGTACACATTCTCCACCCCAAGGGTGCTTGTAATCTCATAGAGTAAAATACATACACAAAATGCTGTACCTCAGTATATAAACATATCACATGTGATATTTTGATACATGCATACAATGTGCAGTGATCATATCAGGGTAATTGAGATATCTATCACCTCAAACATTACACACAACACTTTTTATATACTGAGGTACAGCATTTTGTGTATTTTGTGTATGTATATGCATATGTAAAATATATACATATTTATGGGCTACATGTGATATTTTGTACCAATAAAATAAATTATGTACCAATTAAATTAAAAAATAAATACGGCCGGGCATGGTGGCTCACGCCTGTAATCACAGCACTATGGGAGACTGAGGCAGGTGGATCACGAGGTCAGGAGATTGAGACCATCCTGGCTAACATGGTGAAACCCTGTCTCTACTAAAAATACAAAAAATTAGCCAGGCATGGTGGCAGGCACTTGTAATCCCAGTTACTCAGGAGGCTGAGGCAGGAAAATGGTGTGAACCCGGGAGGCAGAGCTTGCAGTGAGCCGAGATCACGCCACTGCACTGCAGCCTGGGCGAAAAGAGCGAGACTACTTCTCAAAAAAAAATAAAATAATAAATAAATAAATGGATATGGAAGGTAGGAAAAAGCCTTTAAAAATGCTGTGTAAATCATAATCAACGTGCTACAGGAATTGTAAGGAGAGAACACTGCAGACAACAAAATGAGAGCAGAGTTTCTCATGGGTTGGGGGCTTTGAGGGAGCCAGTAGGATCACTTGGCCTGTGTCTCACATTTATATATTTGCTGTCCCCAAACAAGTGTCTACATACATTGGATTTGAGTATGTAGATTAGTAATGTGAATGCGCTATGTGCAAATATTTAAAACATACCAAAAATTTTTGTAAACCATTTGGGGATTTTTATTTTTAACATACCAGAAACCTTGCTATCAGAAGTGGGCTGGGCCCCCTGGCCCTCTAAGAAGTTCTGAGAAGGGGAATGTGTGATAAGGGGAATGTGTTGAAGACAAGAGCGTGAGCACAAAGGTGGAGATACGGGGACATACATTACAGCCGAGAGCTTTGTCTTTGGGGCTGACAGCACATGCTAAGAGGTGGAATGACTGATAGGTCCACAGACAAAGGCTGGCGCCAAACCAACGACCTTGATTTTAGGTAATAAGGAGTTTACAGCAGTAATAAAATAGGTGACGGAGTTAAAAAGGCAATTTCCAAATCATATCTATGCCTGAAGATAAATAATAAATATGAGAGAACCATAAGCATATGAAAATTTCAGTCTGTGGGAAAAGGTCCCAAATATGTCCTTAAGATCATATTACAGTCATATAAAGTTCTCTAAATAAGGTCTACTCTTCTGAAGAAAATATTCTAATTTGAATGCTTCCAATTTTGCTGCTTAAACAGCAAAGGGAAGTCTGGGTAAAAACTACATCACGTCAGGCTTGTGGTATGCAATATTCAGAAAGCAACAACAGTTTCAGTTACTGAAACTGAGATGAATTATCCTTAAAGCAAAAACAGACACTGGCAGAGGATGAAAGCCAAGTCGGCCTTAGGCTGAAATATGTAACCACTGCAGGATTTACACAAAAATATAGTAGCACCAGTCCACCAGCAGCAGTACAAGGGCTTTGGGCACCAATCTCTGGGCACCCGGGTCTCACTTTGATCCCAGGACTAGTGATTTTCAAGCTCTAATAGGCACATGAATCTTCAGAGGATATTGTATTTAAACATGTAGATTGAAGGGCCAGGCGCGGTGGCTCACGCCTGTAATCCCAGCACTTTGGGAGGCCAAGGCGGGCAGATCACGAGGTCAGGAGATCGAGACCATCCTGGCCAACACGGTGAAGCCCCGTCTCTACTAAAAATATAAAAAATTATCCGGGTGTGGTGGCAGGCACCTACAGTCCCAGCTACTCAGGAGGCTGAGGCAGGAGAATGGCGTGAACCCGGGAGGTGGAGCTTGCAGCGAGCCGAGATCGTGCCCCTGTACTCCAGCCTAGGCGACAGAGCAAGACTCTGTCTCAAAAAAAAAAAAAAAAAAAAAAAAAAAAAACAAGAAAAAAGAAAAGAAAATGTAAAAAAATCTAGATTGGAATGCAGAGTAGTTGCAGGGGTTGTCAATCAAGACTGCTGATCCAAGAGTAACAAGACATTACACGATAGAAGTGCAACATCTCAGAAATGGAAGGGACACGATAAATCACCTTCCAGGAGTTCTTTAGCTGGAGTACACAGACTATACTTCAATACCTTTAGTTTCCTTTGTTATCCTACGTATTTATTTTATGCACTTCACCATTTTTATGATGAGGTCAATAAGTTTTATCAATTTGCAATGGAAGTCCATGGTACAAAAACTTCGTACCAAGAATCTCTCAATTGAACCCTTATCTGATGCAATTATTCATTCATTTATTCATTTTTTATTAAACTTTCAGGTACTTCGGCCCTGGTGATGCAACATTCTGAACAAATTGTCATTTAAGGACAGGAAACACAAGTAAACAAGTCACATTACTCCTCAGGCATCAGTTTTTTCTTCTGAAAAAAAAAAAACAAAAACAAATGAGGGGCAGAGAAATAGATGTTCTTTCCAAATGTAATATTTTATGGTTCCATTACCTGAGCCACAGAGGAAAGAAAGGCTCACAGCAAATTAATCAAAAATGAATTGGTTCATATAATAAATCACTTGAAAATATTTATGATCACTCTTTTATCATTATTTTCACACAACTTGAGGCAGTTCAGCAATTTATTATGCAATCAATAATTATCTATATTTTTTATTAGAAATTTAAAACCATCATTCTCAGCAAACTATCGCAACGATAGAAAACGAAACACCGAATGTTCTCACTCATAGGTGGGAATTGAATAATGAGAACACTTAGACACAGGAAGGGGAACATCACACACCGGGGCCTGTTGTGGGGTGGGGGGAGGGGGGAGGGATAACATTAGGAGATATACGTAATGTAAATGACAAGTTAATGGGTGCAGCACACCAACATGGCACATGTATACATATGTAACAATCCTGCACGTTGTGCACATGTACCCTAGAACTTAAAGTATAATAAAAAATAACAATAAAAAATAAAAAAAGAAATTTAGAGTTGGGTAAGAAAGAAAGAAATTTTTTGAACTGTAGAATAGCTTTCTCTTAAGCATTTTCCATCACCCTTTAGATAAGCATTCTGCTTTTCCTAATATATTTTCAATCAGTTGTTTATTTGGCAATGTTTTCACAGATCCGAAAAACTTGGCCTGTTTCATTAAGTAACCTGATCAGTAGAAAATCAGTTGGAAATCTACATTTCCAGTGCAAACAATCCAATCCACAGATTGAAAACATTTGGGCTTACTGGAGTGATTTTTACACCTAACACACAGAAAAAAATTGTTTTGTAAGATTCATTTTGTTTAGTTTGAAATAAATTCAGTCAGTAATATCTACTTGGCCATGTTTTTTCTATTTTAAATTGTATATTTCTCTTAAGGTGCTTTGCTAAGGCCTTCTTTAAAAGAAAATAAGATTTTCAATGAGCAAAAAAAATTCTTTCCTTTTGGATATTTTTGAAAAGAAGATTAACATATCCTTTTACCTCAGAACATAAAACAGCAAAAATGAGAAAAGACATTATCTGGGTGAGGCGTTTACAACCATTTTTAGAGCTTAAGACCCTTTATACCTCAGAATTGAGCCCCAATGTTCAACATATAAAGCAGACAACGGTGCAGCAATCCCAGGTGCTGTCCACAGTATCCTCTTCTGTCCACAAGGCATGTTCTCAGAGGACAGGGTGAAAACCAACCCTCTCAACCAGCTTTCATCAATTTAGCATTGTAATAGTTGTATTAGTGTACCCCATGCACTATTAGTTTAATCTTAGCTTAACCATCGCTGTTAGTGAAAGAAAAATCGCTCATCGGTCAATAGACACTGATCACCAAGGAGTTGTAAAATCAATGACTGGAAATGTTTATTTTTAGAAGTTAGTTTTAACTAATTTGTTATCAGACACATTGTTAAACTTACTTATTTTTAACAACACCAGCATCTCTTCAGAAGATGAACCTTGCTTTCACATGATAGATCTTTAGTTAATATCACCTATAATGTTCCTTTCACTGTTTCTTTCCCAACTATCTCTTCTTCTGGTTAAATATCTGCTGTTTCTTTAAGCATTCTTTTTTTTTTTTTTTTTTTTTTTTTGAGACGGAGTCTCGTTCTGTCACCTAGGCTGGAGTGCAGTGGCATGAGGCACAATATCGGCTCATTGCAACCTCCGCCTCCCCAGTTCAAGCGATTTTCCTGCCTCAGCCTCCTTAGTAGCTGGGATTACAGGTGTGCACCACCAAGCCCAGATCATTTCTTTTTTTTCTTTTGAGATGGAATTTCACTCTTGTCGCCCAGGCTGGAATGCAATGGTGCGATCTCAGCTCACTGCAACATCTGCCTCCTGGGTTGAAGCAATTCTCCTGTCTCAGCCTCCCAAGTAGCTGGGATTACTGGCACCTGCCACCACGCCTGGCTAATTTTTGTATTTTTAGTAGAGACGGGGCTTCACCATGTTGGCCAGGCTGGTCCTGAATTCCTGACCTCAGGTAATCCACCCGCCTCGGCCTTCCAGAGTGTTGGGATTACAGGCATGAGCCACCGCGCCTGGCCTAATTTTTGTATTTTTTAGTAGAGACAGGGTCTTGCTTTTTGGCTATGCTGGTCTTAAACTCCTGGCCTAAAGTGATCCTCCCGCCTTGGCCTCCCAAAGTGCTGGGATTACAGGCATAAGCTACCATGCCTAACTTCTTTAACCATTCTTAACAGGCACAAATCTCCCAAGTAAATAGTGACAGTAACTTACTAAATAATTTTTATGTGCCATTCACAGAACTACGAGCCTTGTTGGATTCCAGCATTTAATCCCGTAACACCCCTATGAGTTAAGTTCTTTATTATTCCCCAGACTCCAGATGAAGGAACTGAGGGTTTCTAAAGGTTACATGATTAGCCCAGGTTCATACTCACCAGACTTCGTATTTACTATATATATATATATATATATATATATATATATATATATATATATATATATATATATATATATTTGTGTATTCTACAAGGCAAGTGTGCATATATATACACACAGCCCAACTTTAGTTATTCAGGGTTTATTCTATAGATTATTTCAACTCCCTCTGCCTATCCCAAAGTCCTTTCACGAACTCACTTCTTGATCTTTCAGTTTCTCTAGATCCTTTTCACTGAGTCCTCCAAATAAGTCTTTGAATCCACACCATAGTACTTCATATACCCGCTACTATCCACCATGGTGGGAATGTAAAATAATAATTCACCATCTCTATACCCATAGGAATGTCCTTCAGCATCTCTAAGCTATACTGTAATGCGTATTTACTGTCTTACAATATCCTCATACAGCTCTGTATGTGTTTGATTTGTTTTCTCCACTAATTATTTGAGGTTAGAAAGCATGAGTGATGTGTCCTTGGCCTTTCCTGTTGTTTCTGCTATATGCTAGGTCCATAGAGATCAACAATAAAAGCAACGACTTCATTATCAAATGAAAGTGAAATTTTAACAACCTGGTTGGCTGCTCTCTTATAGCTCCATATAAAAGATTACCAGGAAAGAGAACATAAATAATTGGCTATGTAGCACAGGCTGGGCAAGGTGTGGCTCATGCCTGTAGTCCCAGCCACTCGGGAGGCTGACTGGGGAGAATAGGAGGTTGAGGCTTCTGTGAGCTATGATGGCCACAGTACTCCAGCCTGGGCCACAGGGCAAGATCCTGTCTCAAAAAATAAATAAAATAAAATAAAAAAAACAATAAAATGTAGTTTGGAAATCACTTGTAAATTTTAATTAATCATGAGGTTTATTTCCTTCTATAGGAGGTAAACCTCACTTATCATCATTATTATTGCTTTCACTTGTGTAGTGCTTTTTAATTCTGCCCATATTTAAATCCATTATCTCATTGCTTCCTCACAATAACCTTGGCACTATGCATGATTATCAGCATCAACCTCATTTTTTACAGATGAGAAAGCCAGAGTTCAGAGAATTAGATGACTTTCTCAGGTAGTTAGTTGTAGAATAGATGTTAGAAGTCCTGGCCCTGTGAGGTCTGAATTTTCCATTTTTCAGTGCATAATGATGCCATCCTGTCAAATAAACTCTGATACGTAGCGGAAGTACAAATTGTAAAACAACAACAACAACAAGAAAAAATTCATAGTTATGTCAAAATCTAAATAAAGTATGTGTATAATTTATATATTAAAAGTGTGCATGAATTATTTCTACTGCTATTGGTTTCCAGGTACAACTACAATTCAAAATGCATATCTGATCAAAATACATCATCTTAACATACATAGCACATGCATATAGCAAGAGCTTAATTAATGCTTATTTTACAATCTGCACACCTGTATTGTCCTAGAAATTCGCATGGTGACTATTTCTACCTACATTGGTTAAGGGACAAAAGTAGAAAAATGCTCCAGGTCTCCCTATAGCTACGCAACATCAGACACTCCATTTAATTTAATAGTTTCTGTCAGTTACACGAGACACTGTTATACCATTTCCTTGTCTTCATCATTACCTCTTCTACAAGGCAAGTGAAACAAAACAAAACCAATCTTCCTAGAAATGTTTCAAATCTGGAATTAAATGTATTGGTAAACCAAAACTGACTTACAACATCCCCAAACTTACCCTATTTCATGTTTATAGAACAAAGGGGGTATCAACTACTTACTTAATCCTAAACCAGTAACACATGAACTACATTTTGATTTATGGTAGTGGTAAAATACTTTCTATAACCCGGTATCTGCTAAATTGCCACATGCCCTATTTCAGATTTTTGTTTCAATCATCACACACTGTGATGCCTGGGATTTTTCATGTGAATATTCATATAAAGTTTACAATGCCCCATTTTATATTTATTTAGTCACCTTTCAACCTTAAAATGAATATTTTGCTCTAGCATCCTTCACATCTTCATTTCAACTTACTTCATTTCAATTTACTGTAAACTTCTGTATTGGACTACTCTCTGGCAAAACTACAACTTACTAAATAAGTTAAATTAAATACATATTGACCTTACCACAAAAGTTCAAAATGCATTTGATATGGTTCGGCTGTGTCCCCACCCGAATCTCATCTTGAATTCCCACATGTTGTGGGAGGGACCCGGTGGGAGGTAATTAAATAATGGGGGTCAAGTCTTTCCCATGTTCTCATGATAGTGAATAAGTCTCATGAGATCTAATGGTTTTAAAAAGAGGAGTTCCCCTGCACAAGCTCTTGTCTCTTGTCTGCTGCCACATGAGACGTGTCTTTCACCTTCCACCATGACTGTAAGTCCAACAAACCTCTTTCTTTTGTAAATTGCC
Source organism: Homo sapiens (assembly GCF_000001405.40). Taxonomy (NCBI): domain Eukaryota; kingdom Metazoa; phylum Chordata; class Mammalia; order Primates; family Hominidae; genus Homo; species Homo sapiens. The sequence goes on along the minus strand of NC_000001.11, from coordinate 237,378,030 downwards.
CAGTTTTGGGTGTGTCTTTATCATCAGCATGAAAACAGACTAAGACAGCATTTCATGATTAAACACAAACTTCTTCCTTCATTCTCCCATTTCCAGCCCCTACTCTTTGAAACAATGCAGTGTCAATGATAGACTTCAAACTATTTCTTCTTTTGTCTATTTCTCCCTTCTTAACATGGCATGTGTTCCTCACATAATAATTTGCTTTCATAAATATCAGAATAGGTAATCACAACCTCATTAATATAGCCTTTTCATCAGGTGCAAAATAAAGACCATAGAATTTTTAATTCCTGATTAGACTGCATTTACATTCTATCAATAAAGTAATTTATTAAAAGGTACTATCAATATCATGAACATGCATATCAAGGTTATGAGGGAAGCCTGCCTGAACAACCTGATAAGCTATATTTGCACCCACATCACATTATTCTTCCGTTTAGGAAGTTATTTATAATTAATCTAATAGAGATAGAGGAATGGTTATAAGCAATTTTCATAGATAATTTACAATATAAACCTTAAAGAGATCATTTTATTGACTTGTCATTTAGCATATCAGCAGATACATGATCCTACTTTCCACACTTACCAAGTACCTTTCAGAGGACACGCTAACTAAGATGAGGTCATCTCCAACTCGTACTTTTTCTCCTTCTGATCGCTGCTTAGAGGCAGGGTGTATGGTCCACCAACAAGCCTCCCCTGCAGATATACGGATATGTGAAACATGAAAAAGTTCCTCTTAATTAAAATCTATTTTCTTTGCCAATGATTCCCAACACACAACTTTCAGAAATCCGGAATTAATGCAAATTAATCTCTTACACCATGAAAAGAGAAAGAATTAAGCCTTAGCTTAGGATAAAATAAGATTCTTCTCCTAGAAACTGGGTGTGACACTTAGGGAAGGTTGATGTCTTTTTCTTCCACTAAGAATTGCTTTAAAGCGATGTTTATTTATACTCATCTAAGGCTAAATTCACCACTCACACTGATCTGATTTCATTCTTTACACACTCACATGTCATTATACTGTCCAATTCCTTTCTATAAAATCATCTTGTTTTTTGTCAATTTTCATAAGGACTTGGGGTTTTGTGACGTGACAATTGTAACAATTTTTTGAAAATGTTCTCAGTAGTTATTTTTGGATGCTGACTCAAAAAAGGATGCAAAGTATTATCATCTAAAGATTGTACTATCCTGTCCCCTTTCTACTTTATTATTTTAAAATGTGGTGTTTTCTATTAATCTAAAGGTAACATATAAGAGAATCCTTCTAAAGAAAAATGAATTATAAAAGATCTTGGTTTACATCAACCAAACAATTTCTTCTAGCACAAGTCAAGCATAAGCCTCATGAGCCACATGTCTCTTCTTCACTCTTTCTTCCCAATACCTAACATAGAAGCTTCAGCATGCCATTCTTCATTCTGTTCATAATACCTTTGAAAACCTAAATGCAACTTCTATCCCAAAATCAGAGGAGTGTTTTCATGATATCCGTCATCATTTACCATTCTTTACCTTCACTCAACTTTATGGTGTTTCCATAACTCTTTTTTTTCCTAATTCCTCAATGCCAGAATGTAAGTCCCTAACAGTGGGACTTGGTATGTTTTGTTTACTGAGGTTTCTCCAGCTCCTGCTAGCCTATTATAGGCCCTCACCACAAATTCATTTTGCATGAGTGAATAAGTGAATTACCAAGCAATATTTTGTAAGTATTCTTACAGTCAACATGTAATCTGTGTTTTTTCTTACATAAACCATAGTCTAACTTGCTTTTCTTACACAAACCATAATCTAACCTGAATGTCACCTGGCAGAATTCTTTATCTTCATTCATCCAATTCACATTTTTACAGTTGCAGGTAGCTTTTCATCCATTCAAACATTTATAGTGTACCCACTATTGGCTAACCATTGCTTTAGTAGCTGGGATACATCAAAAAAGAAGGAAGAAAAAATTATCTGCCTTGTGAGTTTAATTCTGATGAAGGCAGGCAGACAACAAATAATAAATACAATAAATAATTGAGGAATTCAGAAGAGGTAGGGAACTACGGGAAAAAACAGAGTAGCATAAGGAAATCAGGACGCAGGGAGAAAACACTGACTTGTTTTGTTTTGACTATTACATAATCTTCTCAATGTATGAAAACAAATTCTAGACTGCGTCTTTTACTTCTTTTGAAGAGAGAACTGACAACTTTCTCATTTAACTGTGTGCTGAAATACATTAACTAGAATAAGAAAACTAAAAAACTAGCAAAAATACAGAGGAATGATAGAGCCTGTACAAAACAAAATCAGAATAATATATTTATTTATCTTTCTGGTGCCAGGGGTTCTTGGAATTTCTTTTATAAGACGATGCATTGGTCTATTAAAAAGTTTATGAGGCTGGTAAACATAGCTTTGTTTTCACCTTTTTGTTGTTTGTAAAAGATTTAGTAAATATGGGTAAATACTTTTAAGAGGGGGAGTGGAGTGAGAGGATAGCTTGATCTCACTCTTGAAGGGAACAACTTAATAAAAGTTGAACTATTTCCTTCCATTCTTTTTTCTACTTGGTCTTTATTTTTAATTACAAAGTGATGCATGCTCATTGTAAAAGACAAAACAGTCCAATTTTATAGGGATATATAAAGTCAATGCAAAGTCCTCAGAGTATTGAGAAGAACATCAAGTTTGTGTTCTCCTATTTTGATTCTCCAAAAAAAAGTGTTAATATATACATTTTTGTTTCACAAATCTGAAAATGCATGTCTGCTTGGACAGGTATGTAGAATAATGCCCTGTGGGCAGAGAAATTAAGGAGACTTTCATTTTTTATCTTTTTATTTGAATGTTGGCATCAAGTATGTTATATTTTCAGACTTAAAAACATTTTTGAGAGAGACATGTAGAATTACTTCACAAACTAATTAGTGTACATTAATATGGCTAACACCCAGTAAATCATGTAGTAAATATTAATTTTCTATCCAAACCTACAAGAAGAATAAGGTTTGAAGCCTAGTTTGAACATCCAACTAATGATGTGGGAATAACCAAGAGGAATGATATACACTTTCCCCTTCTAGGAAAAACTTTCATTAGAACATTCTTTCCTGACTCCATCCATAAGAACATTCATCCCATGTATCGTATTTCCCGGCTTCTTCCAATCCAACCCCTGCAGGGTTCTCTCTGAACCTGGCTTCCCGCAGCACAAGATGCTTACCTGTGGTGTCCTCTTGCAAGCCAACATCAAAAGCCAGCTTATCAGTTGAAGACCGGGAGGTGGACAGGCAGCACAGATACTACAAAGTACAAAATCAGTAGTTGTAAGTAGAGGTTTTGTTCGTCTGTTGTTTGTGTTTGAGACAAGGTTGCTCTGTAGCTCAGGCTGGAAGTGCAGTGGCGTGATCACAGCTCACTGCAGCCTCAACCTCCTGGGCTCAAGCAGTCATCCCACCTCAGCCTCCTGAGCAGCTGGGACTACAGGCACATGCCACCATGCCTGGCTAATTATTTTCTTTTTTGTAGAGATATGGTTTCACCATGTTGCCCAGGCTGGCCTTGAACTCCTAGACTCAAGTGATCCTCCTACCTCAGGTTCCCAAGTAGCTGGGACCACAGGTGTGCACCACTACACCTGGTTAATTTTTTTTTTTTTTCCATAGAGATGAGATCTCCCTATGTTGCCCAAGGTGATCTCAAACTCCTAAACTCAAGCAATCTCCCACCTCCACTTCCCAAGGTGCCGGGATTATAGGCATGAGCCACAGTGACCAGCCATCGTTAAGGTTTATAGTTGTACCAGCAGAGTCTTATTCTGACCTGTAATTTGGCATCCATCTATCCCTACTGTTCTCACTGTTTTCCTGAAAATCTGGATGCTTCTGCACAAAGCCCAGATTTTTAAATGTCTGTGAGGCAGAACAGCATGCATTAGGGGCAATATCCTAAAGGAATTGTAGTCTTTTCTTCCCTTATAAAAGACAAAGGAAATGTTCTCTGTCAGTACAGGAAGACAAGTAACTGGGGATGTATTTGTACATCTCTCACTTCATGTGATATTCATGATCATCTGCAAAAGTACAATGTAGTCTGACAGTTAGAAATCTTTCTCCCAAACAAATTTGAAGACTATTCTCTTTTATCTTCTAGTTTTGTTTCCATTTAAAAATGTTTAACTCTTTGAAATCCACCTAGAATTTATTTTGGTGCACAGCATGTCACTGCACTAAAATGAGGTTTATTGTGTGTCTACATACACGTGCATTTCCACAGGAGTAATCACTCTTGCAACACCATCATCTCCTTATTCTTCCCACCCTTACGTGTTCCTAACTGTATATTCTTGGACATAAAGTTTAGGATCATTTTTCAAGCCTACTGCTCCCCAACCCCCATGCCACAAAGTGTTGTAAGAACAGAGACACAAAGATGAATGTGTTGTAAGAACAGAGATACAAAGACGAATGTGGTAGGAACTCGAAGTACACTACCATCACGAAGCAAGTGCACTGCCAGCAAGCCCCCTTTAGAATCACTGGAAAAATAATGCAAAGGCTAGAAATGTCTTATTATGGTACAGGGCCCATCCAGCTAGGTGTGTGTCTGTGAGTGTGAGAAGGCAGATGAACCAATCGGTGGCAGATATGCTGGTATGTTAGGTGGAATTCAGTGCCATGGGGATGTGAAATCAAATTGACCTGCAGATTCTGATTCTGACTCTTAACTACAAAGAAATGGCTCCCAAGGTTATAGCCAAGAGGCTCCCAGGGTCCCTAAACTTGTTTTTAGCCACAGCAGAAATGTCAGTCTGACCTCAAGACAGGTAGCCCACGATAATCCCCTATGTTTATAGACTTTAAATATAAATTGTGCTTAACATCTGCCTTTATTTTTTAAAAAGGTAACAACTTTGCAATAATCAGACTTCCCAGACAAACATGAAGTGATTCCTATTAAAGTCTTTTGTAATTTTTTCAATAACAAGTACAGTATTAGGCACTGTACCTATAACTATTAACATATGCTTTCTCCTTAATGTTTCTAGTAACTCTGAGGTAGATACTATGATTATTCTACTAAGTGTTAATTAAAGAGAGCAAGAACTTGGTCTTATTCACTACTATATCCAGGACCTAAAACAGTACCTAGCACATAGTAGATGCCAAATAATATTTATTTAATGAATGTATAAAAATTTCAGGTGTAATTACAGGCTTGATTATGCAAAATATCCCAGGCTGTCCAGCATGTGGCAAACAGACTGAATCCAAATCTAACAACCAAGTTGAGGCTCTTAACCCAACTATTATGTATAGAGAGTAGTTGTCTTAAAAGAAACCCTCACATTTATTAGCTCATGCAGTTCATGTGTTTTGATTGCTGTAGAATGTGGAATTGTTTTCATTAAATTTTAATATGTGATTGCTCTATACAAATTGTTTTTACATATTTTTCTTACATCCAACCACTTTATGAAACTGTTTTATGTTGTTTTATATCTTGACATGTCAGCCAAAATTTCCAGAACAATGTTAGTTAGCAATGGTAGATAAAACATATTCTTATTTTAGTTAATTTGATTTAAAAAATGGCTTCAGCATTTCACAATTACAATATTCACTATTGATCTGACACTGATAATCTTTATCACTGAGGAATTAATCAATGTTTAGTTTTCATTAAGAATGAGCATTGAATTTTATTAAAAACCTTTTCCAGCACTTGCTAACATGATCACAAGTTTTCTTATCTGACCTATTCATGTGATGTAACACATTAAAAGAAATGATATTATTAAATCATCATTAAAATCACGTCCATGTATTTCCTATACTTCTCATCCTATACTTTTGAATTTCATTAAATAGACAATTAAAATCAAATTATCACATAAATATCCATGATTGAGATTGAAAATTTGTGTGCCCTTGTTGGATAGTGGTATTTTTTATTTTTATTTTTTATTATACTTTAAGTTCTAGGGTACATGTGCCCAATGTGCAGGTTTGTTACATACGTATACATGTGCCATGTGCCATGTTGGTGTGCTGCACCCATTAACTTGTCATTCACATTAGGTATATCTCCTAATGCTATCCCTCCCATCTCTCCCCACCCCACGACAGGCCCCGGTGTGTGATGTTCCCCTTCCTGTGTCCAAGTGTTCTCACTGTTCAATTCCCACCTATGAGTGAGAACATGCAGTGTTTGGTTTTTTGTCCTTGCGATAGTTTGCTGAGAATGATGGTTTCCAGCTTCATCCATGTCCCTACAAAGGACATAAACTCATCCTTTTTCATGGCTGCATAGTATTCCATGGCGTATATGTGCCACATTTTCTTAATCCAGTTGGATAGTGTTATTGATACGTAGTCTTCTGCTTTAGAACAATTTACATAATACAGGAATCATCTACTTTTTAAAAGGAATGATCAAGTATATTATTACAGATATTGTATAATATTCTAGATATTGAACTATCATGTTGCCACTAAAATTATGTTGACAATATAAACAACATGGAAAATGCTTATGTTACAAGAAAAGGAAAAGAAAATCATGCCGGGCATGGTGGCTCATGCCTGTAATCCCAGGACTTTGGGAGGCCAAGGCGAGAGGATCGTTTCAGCCTGGGAGCTCAAGACCAGCTTAGGAAAGATGGTGAGACTCCCATCTCTACAATAAATTTAAAAATTAGCCAGGCGTGGTAGCACACACCTGTAGTCCTAGCTACACAGGAGGTTGAAGCAAGAGAATCACTTGAGTCCCGGAGTTCAAGGCTATAGTTAGCCATGATCATACCACTGCACCTCAGCCTGGGTGACAGCAAGACCCTATCTCAAAAAACAAAATGATATAAATTTGGTAACGTAGTAACATCTCAATTATGTTTAAAAAAAAAAAGCCTTAAGGACAGAAGAGATTAAAACTTTTTTTAAAAGCCTCCAACAGTTTTTTCCTATTAGTGTGATCAGAATTTTTCTTCTGCAACTTCCAAATCGTATAGAATATGTATTGCTTTTATAATTTAATAAAGCTCTTATAAGAATGGAATGAGGCCGGGCGCGGTGGCTCATGCCTGTAATCCCAGCACTCCGGAAGGCCGAGGCAGGCGGATCACCAGGTCAGGAGATCGAGACCATCCTGGCTAACACGGTGAAACCCTGTCTCTATTAAAAATACAAAAAATTAGCTGGGTGTGGTGGCGGGCACCTGTAGTCCCAGCTACTCAGGAGGCTGAGGCAGGAGAATGGCGTGAACCTGGGAGGCGGAGCTTGCAGTGAGCCGAGATCGCGCCACTGCACTCCAGCCTGGGCAACAGAACCAGACTCCGTCTCAAAAAAAAAAAAAAAAATGGAATGAAACTTTTGCATATTTTTAACATATTTTATATACAGTTGACCCTTGAACAACACAGGTTTCAACTGCACGGGCCCACTTACTAAGATGTTCTTCCCCCTCTACCATTCCTGAGACAGCAAAACCAGTTCCTCCTCTTCCTCCTCCTTAGCCTATTTGACACGAAGACAATGAGAATGAAAATCTTTATGATGATCCATTTCCACTTTATGTGTAGAAAATATTTTTTTCTTTCGATATTCTTAATATTTTTTCTCTAGCTTACTTTATTATAATACAGTATATAATACATACAAAAAATATGTGTTGACTGGTATTGGTAAGGCTTCTGGTCAACAGGGGGATATTAATAGTTATCTTTTGAGGGAATCAAAAGTTATATGTGACTTCCTACTGTGAAGGAGATTGGCACCCCTAACTCCTGTGTTGTTCAAGGGTCAGCTGTATATGTAATAGCTAAGAATACATTAAAGTATTTATAAAATATATATTTAAAACATTTACATATATACACATATATATGTGCATATATACATGAGGCAAAGAATAAGAAAACTGTGCCCAAGAGAAGCCTAGTGAATAACTGGGTGAAAGGAGGAGCAGATGTGGTAAAAGAGAAACCTGGTGAAGAAGAAAAAGAAGTTGGTGAGTACAATTAATATTGGAGCTCACAGGTAGATTTTCTTAAATCTGATCTTTCAATAAAGATACCTTATTTCTCTAATAAATGAACTCTTCAAAACAAAATCAGAAAAGAAAATATCTCTTATTTGACTCTTACACCTCTCTCCTCCTAAAACTACTCTATCAAAAGTAAGATACTGAAGATGGTAATCATATAATGATAGAATTAAAGGACCTTAAAAGTCATCTGAGCTGACTTTCATCTTTTACATGAGAAACTAACAAGGGTACAAAGATATGAAAGAACACAAACATCCAAGCTCATTAATACCATTGCAGAAATGATGCTACCAGCATTTGCAGACCATGTACCCCCAAATGGATCAGCATGACCACAGGGAGATGAAATCAAATGCCTACTCACCATGCCACTATAGGAATGGCGCAGCAATATGGCATGTCCGTAGAGGAGTGTTCGATGACCACCACCTTGAGCAGTCTTTAGAGAGAAGAGAAAAAAGGAGAACAAGAGAGAAAAACACAAAAGAGTAACTTAACCAAGTTGATAAAATACTCTCTTGCTCTCAAAGGAACGTTAGTAGGAAAGAATGTATTAAGAGCTCTTGCAGACAAGCAAAGTGCTGTTGAAATAATGTATACATTGGAGTAAAGTTAATGTAACCTCTATTATGGGATTAGCATTTTATCTAGTTCTTGAAAAATAAACTTGGTATCAGTAAATAATTATCATAATTATAGTTATTTACTCATAATGTACTTAATAATAATCTCTTTCCCATTATATTATGGTTTCCACTGGGTGGGAACCATGGTACCTTAGTCACCATTGTATTCCAGGTGCCTACCTGCATGCGGAACATACAAGAGGCACTAAATAAATGTTGATTCAGGCCAGGCGTGGTGGCTCATGCCTGTAATCCCAGCACTTTGGGAGGCCGAGGCGGGCGATTACCTGAGGTCAGGAGTTCGAGACCAACCTGGCCAACATGGCAAAACCCCATCTCTAGTAAAACTACAAAGATTAGCTGGGCGTGGTGATGCCTGCCTGTAATCCCAGCTACTCGGGAGGCTGAGGCAGGATAACTGCTTGAACCCGGGAGGTGGAGGTTGCAGTGAGCTGAGATTGCACCATTGCACTCCAGCCTGGGCAACAGAGCAGGACTCTATCTTAATAAATAAATAAATAAATAAATAAATAAATAAATAAATAAACGTTGATTCAACGAATGAGTATTCCTAGAACACAAAATTGATCATAATGCCTCCAGGCTTAAAAACTTCTCATTCCTCCCAATTGCTTATAGGGAAGAGTCCAATCAATCCCTTTCCATGAAATAGAAGAGTGCTTCTTAAATTGGAGAGCTTGTAAAAACACAGATTCCTGGCCCTTACCACTGGGATTTTGATTCAGTAGGTCTGGGGTAGACACAGAGAAGTTTCATTTCAATAATTTTCCAGGTGATGCTGATGCCGTTGGTCCAGAGACTACTTTGAGAAGCACAGAGAGACATTTGTCTCACTCATCTCTAGCCTCATCTTCAATCATCCTGTGCTCCAAACATACCCACTTTCCCTTCCCTGAATATGCCATACTGCTTTCATGCTGCCCCATCTCGGAATACAACATTCCCTCTCTCTAGTCTTCCCTGCCTTATAAAGCCTTTTTAATAGGAAAGCCTCCAGTAGTTTTTTTCTATTAGTGTAATTGAAGGATTTTTCTTCTGTAACTTCCAAACTGTATAGAATAAATATGTATTGATGTTATAATTTAATAAAGTTTTTATAAGAATGGAATGAAACTTTTACATATTTTATGTACATGTGACTCTTTAACGACACAGGTTTGAATTGCACAGCCCCATTTATACTCAGATTTTTTTCTCCCTCTACTTTTTAAAACTCTGATTAAAGACTACCTTCTCTATGAAGCCTCATCCAGTTTCCTCAAAGCTACTCACTCTCCCCATCCTCCTGCAGCCCTAGGTATACACATGTACATTGGCCTTACACTCTACACAAGAACCCTCCTCCCCTTGATCAGACTGAAAACTCCTGAAGGACAATGACGCTGTCCTGATTATCATTTCACCTCCAGCTATGAGCGTGAGGTCAGGCCATGGTAAGTACTCAGTAAACAACTGTCAAATGAAAAACTGGATATGGGGAAGCTCACTTCAGGCTGAGTAAGGAGTATGTATAAAGGGGTCATGGTATATAATCACAAGGTGTGTAAGAAGGAGGAAGCAATCATGGAATTTTAGTGTTGGGTTGCACAGAAAAACTTCACAGGAATTATAAAATTAGATCAGGGAAAGACCATGGAAGGTACAAAATATTATGACGAGAAGTTTGTAATTCTTTTTGCAGGAAAAGGAGGTCTTTAAAAATTTTCAGAATAAGAGTGATGATACTGACCTGTGCCTTAAGAAGTACAGAAAGATGCTTTAATATCCAATATTATTACAACCTTTTTATTAAACAAATATCACATTCTTGTTGTTCCATATAGTTTCTCAAAATAACTTTATGTTTTGTTTGAAAAAACTCAGAACTATTCTAAAAACAGATATTAAAAGGTATTAAAATAAGAAAAACTGCTGAAAAACCACTTTTTTTGGGGGGCCAGACGCAGTGGCTCACGCTTGTAATCCCAGAACTTTGGGAGACCAAGACAGGTGGATCGTGTGAGGTCAGGAGTTCAAGACCAGCCTGGCCAACACTGTGAAACTAAAATACAAAAATACAAAAATTAGCTGGGCATGGTGGCGGGCGCCTGTAATCCCAGCTACTTTCAGGAGGCTGAGACAGAAGAATGGCTTGAACCCGGGAGGCAGAGGTTGCAGTGAGCCGAGGTCACACCGCTGCACTCCAGCCTGGGCAACAGAGCGAGATTCTATCTCGAAAACAAAAACAAACAAAAAAACAAAAACAAAACAAAACAGTCACTTTTTTCACATAACTGAGAAGAAAAGGGAAAAATCTACTTTGAAAAACTATACTCCTTCAGAGAATGAGGCTGTCTTTAGAGAGCACTTTTTTTTCTATAATGCATTTGATTTATTGTGGCCAAGAACAATTTTATTTACTTTGTCTGGTTTGAATTACTTTGATAGAAGCTCACCTTTTCATACCAGATTTATGTTCCAAAGCTATAAAATCCACGTGAACTTTAATAACACTTGACAGCCACACTAGTCAAAACAAAATGTTTTAAAAGTGAAGGACAAGGTCTTGAAGTTAACCAGAAAGTGCTCCTTTTACCGTAAAGCTTGGCCTACACATTTCATATATATATATATACAGTGTGTGTGTGTGTGTGTGTGTGTGTGTGTGTGTGACTAAAGAGGTTTACACACACATTAAAATTACTGGCTCTATATTTTGTTCTTTCTGGTTTGCTTTTTTTGTTTTTTGGCTCTGTGTTTTTTAAATACAGTTGGCCCAGAGCAAGGCAAAGTGCCTCATGCTTGTAATCCCAACTACCTAGGAGGCTGAGCCCAGAAGATCACTGGAGCCCAGGAGTTCCAGGTTGCAGTGAGCTATGTTCATGCCACTGTACTCCAGCCTGGGCAACAGAGCAAAACCCTGTCTCTTAAAAAATAAAATAAGTAGTGAATCACACAACAGGGTCACCGAAGGACTGTAACAATCCATGAGAATCCTGGCCTCAGTTGAAGATAAAGGTGCCTGCAAAGGCCAGTTTAACATTGTCAAGACATCCATTTGACATGGACTGGCTTACTTGGGATGGTGTCTTCATGGAAAGTCTCCTCAGGGAACAGATCAGGCTTAGGACAGTCCTAATGCATCACTGTTTAGCACCAACCAGCAGAAATAGGCTCCCACAACAAGAAAGCATCCATCTGGTTCTAAGAAGTTAATGCCTTTTCCGTATGAAACCCAAAGCAAAGCATGATGATTGAAAGGTGAAAGCGAGATAAAATTCAGCATGTTTTTCTGTTTACGTGACTTAAATTACTGTAATTGCATGCATATGCCCTCCCCTTAATCCAATTCTAACCTTTCCAGATCATCCATTGCAAGTGTGAAAATAACTATTGGCCTTCTGGCCTCGAAGTTAAAAGAACTGGGGGCCTAATTAAATTATTTTAGGCATACCACCTGCTTTTAACTAATTCTACATCATCTTTCTATTTGCACTGGTTTTTATATGCATTTGTTCTCACAAGAGACCTTCAGATGTCTGTTTCAGGCGACCATTTCATTCACCCTTCCCAAGGGGAAGTCCATACAATATTGTACAGTTGAATTAAGAATGAGATGATAAAATGAATACAGCAAATGCAGATTTAGCAGGAAAAACTAAATTTTCTCAAACCCCAAATCATAAGTTATCAGTATTTGCAAAGAGAGGAAATATTCCTATTTTGCTGTTGTTTTAAATATTTTTCCAACCCAAACTCTTGTTTCATGATACGTCTAATTTAGGGATTAACGTCCTCTCTTCAAAATGTGATCATAATATTTTCTACTGAAAAATAAGAGCTAGAGTTATTTGAAATTCTGGAAGATGTTCCACGTCCTGGTTGATAGATGGCTTCAAAGAAATACTCTGTTCTGTCATCCCATCCAAAACGCCGAATTCGCACTGGTAGTGAACAGGTCCAGGTTAGGGTGTCCCACAATGCACCTGGTTCAGTTTTATTAAACATGATGGATTTAACCACAAAATTCAACAGACTGACAAGAACGCGCTTCCTTTTCTTCAAAGCAATCTTTTCCATCTATATCTGGAATTTTGATTTAATATTTCTCACAGTCTCTTTCTTTCAAAATCATAAATTCTTTTAAGCCTTTATTAATGGAATATCAATCAATTTTTCTACCTACCCATTGTTTCTTGGCTTTTAAGATAAAAAAATTAAACCCCATAAATGTTATAGGAGAAAGGTAGTGGGCATACAAAAATGAAACAAAAATTTTCTATTATATATCCTAAAATAACCATAGTCTACTCTTCCTGTCTGTCCCTTACATATTCCTTCGATGACATGTCCACATGCTTTACTCTTTTCATTTGTCTACTTTTACAATATTTTCACTTTTCCAATTTAGTTGAGAAATGAATAAGGGGCTGGCTGAATTATTTTCACTTCTCCTGGAGTAAGTAGAAGTAGTTTCTTGGTGCCTCCCCTAATTTCCCAGTGGAAGAATTTCCCATTGTATTCATGCAAAAGGGCATAAATGCAAAGTCAACATAATCCCCAGAGTGAATATTCTAAATGGAGAGCTACTAAAATTGTTTTAATAAGAGAAATTCTTAATGTTAGCTAATTAAATATAATGTTACAATATGACCCAAAAATGTCAAATGTTGTTTGTTGAGTTGTTAAATCTAAACGTGATTTATCTAAATTTAAAAGCTCCAAAGCTTGATTTTTAAAAACCTTTTAAAAGCATGTGAAGAAAAGTTACATGGATTCAAAAGTAAAACAAATGTGTATAACCATACAGAAAACATACAAAGTACCACATATATATAGCTGATATATAGTAATATATATATCTGTCATATATATAATACAGCTATACTAATATGCAGATACATACATATATAATCCATATATAGTAATATATCTGCTATATATATACATAGCATATATATTAAGATGTCTTACCTTCATCATGAATTTCTGTAGGGGCATAAGGAAAAGAGAGGAAACATTAAATAGACACGATCTCAAAGACTTCCTTAAAAATATCTCTTATTTATAAAGACTCCGTTATCCTAAATGGAGCTATGTAAACAATAAACATAAAAAAAAACATTCACCATGTTATCGCAACAAAACTTAGTATCAACTACATGCTAGAGAAAAGCCGTAGCAAGCAAAACTCTTTAAAAATGTTTTGACGTTAGTTTCTTCCTTTTTCTGTGAAAACATGCTGCTCTACTTTCAGTGATTCCATTGACAACCTATTTAAGCACCAAAAAAGGTATCATCTTAAAAATTGATCCTCTGCAAATGCTTTTTAAAAAACCAACTTGCATCTTTTGCATAAAAATGCAGTGATAAAAACAAACAGCAACCCAACTCATTTTAATAAAAACAGTAGATTAAAACAGGTAAGGTAGATCGTAAACTAATATGCTGCAATGAGCGGCTCTCGTTTCATGCAAAATAACAGTAAGCAATTTCTTAGACACTGAATATTGTGAAAGGTGAATTTCACAGAAAAATCACAAAAACATTTCTTTTTCTCTTAAAATGACACAGTCTCCTTTCATAAATTATATAATAGCTCTTTTTTCTTCTACAAAACATAATGTGTACGTATGTGTGTGCATATGCAAATTTACAAATAACTTCATTTTTCTTTACACCTCTAAAGTTTCTTTGACTACTTATTCCTAGGAGAGTTACACAGATGAAAGAGTATGAAAAAGAAAACAATGATATATTTCCAAACTTAGGGCTGAATTTGTTGTCAGGTTGATGTCTAAGTCCTATGGAGAAAAGATACCATAGAGACACTAGTTGTAAGAAAAACAGCAAGGAAAAGTTTTCCAATATATATATTTGTAAATATTACAATTTTTCCCTGAAACATATTTACATAGTAATATGTATATTATTAAAGGGAAATTCTGTTGAGACTAATTTTTTCATTTTCAATATTACAATTTCAAGGAAAAATTGTAAAGAAGCTTTCATCCTTGGCTTAGAAAATACAGGCTGTTTAGTTACCTTTTTATAACTGATATTAATCATACATAATATCAGGAAACTTACTTTCCATGTTAAACTGACCAATCACATGTGACTCACTAATGGTAGAGATATCACTAAAGAATTAGGCAAAATCATTATTAAGCCTTAATTCAAAGAAACACAAAAACCTAACATTTTGGTACAGCACATGGTTTGTGAAGAGATACTTTCTTCATGAGATTTTTTTTTTTTTAATTAAGCTAGGTTTGGGAGATTTTCCTTCAGACAATTTTCTCAGCCTGATTTTGTCAGGTATCTAAGTTGAACCACTTTAAAAATGTAGTAGGTATTAACAAAAAAAAGAGTGGTCAGCCAAGTGACCGAGGTCTGCTATTCGGCATTGCTAAGTCATGTCTGACTGTAGGAAGAATAATACACAGAGGAGAGCAATCTGCATACACGACAAAATAGAATGAATACTGAAAAATAGCAAATGCTGAAATATCCTTCTGCAGAATGAGAAAGAAGAGCAGATGTAAGACACAAACATCACTTTCAAAAGATAATCAAGAACATGAAAGATTTGTGGTATTAGTGGCATTATTGACAATAACTTTCTGTACAAACCATTTCTTGTTCAAATTGGTTTAAGTGCTAGATATTACCAAAATTATAGCATCAGGAGACATTCAAAGGGATCGTTTAAGGGAAAAGAAGAAAGCAAAGCGCATTAAAACAAAAAAGATGAGTATATTAGTTTAATTCAATGTAAGCACTGCTTCTGTATGATAAAAGCAACAAACAGAAAAAGAATAACAACAAAAACCCTTTAAAAATTGATATGATGGAAAGTAGAAAAAAGAAACACATAAAGATAAATATTGAAGAAAGCAGCCTCTTTGGGTGTGGAGAATGTCGTTTTTGTGCTTACAATAAGTTTAGCAAATAAATTAACTATTTGATTTATTTCACTAATGAGAAGTTCAATAGACAAGAGCTAAAATTTCATTACACAAAATAGAGTAAGGGATGACTATATGGGCAATTATAGGACAGGCACGCAGCATGGATTCCAACGTGCTGTCTTAGAATTTTTTGGATGATGATTAATTTGCATAGAAACACAAAGGTGGAAATTTTAGTTCTTTAGGCTAAAACTGCAGATGTCAGTAACTCAGTGTCCCAGGTTTAGATTAATCCGGAATTGACACATCAGATGGAGCTCCAAATACAAGCAAAACCTGGGGGCACATGCCACATTAACATGGAAGCCAGGAAGAGAAATTGCTATTGCTACATTTTAACACATAGACGGCCCTGGGTGTCAAATGGATGACAAAAAGAAGCAGAATCATCTTTCGTCTGTAAGCATGAGCCACTCAGTGTAGTAGATCTAAAAGACCTAAGGCACTCTCTTAGCAAATGCAAATGATTATGAATAGAAAAACAAATCAAATAGCAATACTTTACTCTGAAAATTGCTAACAAATACTGGATATCAAGAGAATGCATATTTAATCTGTTCTTGGTGCAAAGAAGGAAACAATAATTCAGGTAATGTAGCAAAGCTCCTCTATTATAATGATGCCTTTCAGTTCAACCTTGACTTTTTAAAACTGGTATTTCAGTTTCATGAGCTAAAAACTGATTTTTAAAAAGGAACGCTTCTAAAAACCTACCTTAGAACTTTTAAAAGAAACTGTTATTGAAATGTCTCCTCAAAAATTATATAGATAAGGATTTAGTGACAAAGCACCATACATTTGGAGGCTTGCCATTAAAAAGGATTATCAAATGCAACAATTTCAGAATAGCCTCAGAAGTCATTCTAGCGTGAAGTTTCCATTAAGGAGGCAAAATACCCTACTCTGTACACAAAATATACATCAAATTTAAGCCTTTTCGCCATCTTTTCCTCTCCACGTATCAAGATGCTAGGATTCTCCATAAGTCTCCAACCGGTAACCTCTCCTTTGTGAGGAAATATCAGGTAAACTTCATTATGTTGAGAAAACAAAGTGATTTCACCACCAAAGACTAGGATTTCTAGGTAGCTATAGTTAATTAATGATAGTCCCAATAATTTTTAGAATAAAAAAATTAACAACAATTCTGAGTTCCAAATATCAATATATACTACCTAATAGCATATGAGGTTGAAAAGCTTCAACTATCGCTCTTATGATGAAAATATGTGTCTGGGTGCAGTGGCTCATGCCTGTAATCCCAGCACTTTGGGAGGCCAGGGCAGGAGTATCTGCTTGAGCCCAGGAGTGCAAGACTAGCTTGGGCACCATAGTGAGACACTGTCTCTACAAAAAATTAAAAAGTTAGCCAGGCATGGTGGCACATGCCTGTAGTCCCAGCTACTCAGGAGGCTGAGGTGGGACTATCACTTGAGCCACGCTCCAGCTTGGGTGACAGAGCAAGACCCTGTCTTAAAAAATATCTATATAAATCCTATGGAAATGCTTCACTTTCCAGGATTCCCCTGCTAAAAATGTCCAAGATGCTCTGAAAAGACAGACATATTGATTACAGGTACAGAAATCATCTGAAAGAGGCTTGTCCACCAGTCCATGAATGAGCAATTATACACATAATAATACATTCTATTGAAATGCCCTTGTGTCACTCATATTAATGACCATCACTGGAATCTAGTTATGTGAGATGCAGATATGTTTAAAAAGAATTCATTCTATTTTTCGGCAGATTTGTAGCAAGTTCTTTTTCAACCTATAAACAGCTCTGTACAGACAGTAGTTAAATGGAATGTCTTCTCTTTCGAGTATAATAAATTTGACATATATATGTACATACAATTATGTAGTTCTTCTTTAGAAGGGTAAAGAAAAATAAATGATTCCGATAAGCTACTATAAGTTCTCACACTTTATCTCTGTGACAGGTTTATAAAGCAAAGAGCTGCATAAATGCCTAAAACATGAAATAGAAGAGGTATCTAGGGCTTTCTTCATTTCCCAGCTTGTCTCGATAGAGAATTTCTCTAAATCAAAAGCAACACATTGATTTCTACAGAGGGCAAATGGATACTGATGTCTTGAAGACATACAAAGCCTGCCCTCTATTCAGATCATCACCTACACATAAAAAATTGCCCATGTCAGAATACAGAAGACTCCATATATTTTTAAAAACCATTTCAAACATGAATGAACCTTGATAGCTTGAAAGCATTTCGCAGGTTCTCACATAATAGCAGTCGTGTGTTAAAATGCATTTTTAAACAACTCTCCAGGTAGAAACATTTGAAATGATTATGGATTTTAACAATTACAACAGCATCATCATATTTTTTAAGAGAAAATACATGTGTAAGACATCACTCAGTCTATAGACAATGCTTCATAGACAACAATCTCACAGTCTATTTCATCCTTTTGCTTTCTTCACCCCACTCATGACCTGATTCCTAGGCCTCCACATTGGAAACCAATGGTATAGGTTAGAAAAGGGCTAGGAGTGGAGTAGATGGAAATGACCATTAGTTACTTTCTTATCCAGTACTCAGGAGTTTTATTCTCTTTTAAAGTGTAAAGAGCAGCATTTGATAACTCAGTGGGCTTGTGATTAAACAGATGCACAGCTGCTCAAAGAGACAGTGATGATGGAGAGAAGGAAGGAGATGAAGGCAGGAAGGGAATTAGGGAAAAGGGGATGGAGAGGGGAGGGAGAAAGGAGAAAGAAAGAGAAAGTGATTGATGGACCTTTGATGAAACTATCCAGAATAATGTTATCAGAAGATTTATACAGAAGCCATTTTAATTTTCATATATATTTAAGTTTGTAAGGCTCCCAAAGGTCTTAATCTGGTGGTGGTAAACGCACCCTAGACAAGCAAGTATAACAGAAGTTAAAACAGGTCACTGTCCCAAAACAAAACAATGACCAGTCTCCGAAGGGGATTTACAAGAAGGTCCCTGACTTAACAATGGTTCTATTTATGATTTTTCAACTGTACGACAATGTGAAAGTGATTTGCATTCAGCAGGAACTGTATTTTGATTACCCATACAATCATTGTATTTTTTACTTTCAGTATAGTATTCAATAAATTACATGAGATATTCAACACTTTAGTATAAAATAGGCTTTGTGTTAGATGATGTTGCCCCACTGTAAGCTAATGTAAGTGTTCTCAGCCCGTTTAAGGGAGGCTAAGCTAAGCTATAATGTTCTGTAGGTTAGGTGTATTACATGCATTTTTGGCTTACGATATTTTCAACTTCTGAAGGGCTTTTCAGGATATAACCTCACCCTAACTGGAGGAGCACCTGTACTATCACGTCCCAAAACATATTGTTATGCCACCTAAGCAGGGATGTCAAAGAGGGTGGCTGCAAATCCACTGGCTGCCCTTAGCTGACTGCCCACCCCCAGTGTATTATTAGAGGCCAGGCAGCAAAGAAATGGTTTCTTGGAGAGAAGTGCAGGTGGGCCTGGAATCCTGCCTGCCTCCCAAGCTTGCCCTCACTTCAAGCCTAGCAAGGGTAGCTTCAGGGATACCTGATATCCCTGGGAGCTGGGACACTGTAGACTGGTGTCTTACTATGCCTGGAGATTGAGAGGCAAAAGGCTGGGTGTAGTCCTACAGGGCTGCAACTGGGAAGTGACCACACTGCCAACAAGCAAATGGGGGCCATACTAGACAGATCCAGCTTGGGATTGTCTCAGAGGCCACCAAGAACTCCCAGGAAGAGTAAGGAATTGCCACTGACCAGCTAGTGGACACGCATTTGTCTGCAGCAAGAGAAGCTCAGGTCAGAGTTTTCTGGGGATAGAAGCTCCCCGAAAGACCAATGCCAAGCGCCCACAGAGAAAGTCAGCATTAGAAACCTGGCAAGCCCAGTGCATGACACTATGATCAAAGCAGACCTTTCCTGCCAAGCTTTCTCTTCTGTCTCCTTCCCACAGCACCTGAGAGTGGCAGACTCTCCAGGTACCAAGTAGGGCGTGAGGAACCCGGCGGGGCAAGCAAGAAACAGCTTCCCAGATATCCGTCCCTCCAGCTCGATTCCTGACAAGTTAACTTGAATTAGCTTCAAGTTCACCTATTATACAGATTTGGGCATTTTAATTACTGAAATGAGATCTGTATGACTTGAAATGTCTGTGGGGTATTTCACTCTTGGAATACGAGAAAGGTCAAGGGACCGGTTCTAATTTAACTCAAGGGGCAGAGAAGTACCAGCCCCACAGAGGAGTCTCAATAGTCCTGGGTTAGGTGGGTAGAGGGTTAAATTACTTTCTGTTGGCCTTCAAAGTCTACCTGTAACAGTAGAATTTCAAACTTCTAATGGCCAAAGCATAAGACATGAACTGGATAGGTCTTCAAAGAAAAAAAGAGCTCCAATCTAAAATTTGCTGCAACATTTACACATAGTGATCATCCGTGTTCTAAAACCCAGCAGAATCTTTTTATTATATGACTTCCAAATGAACATGTATTTTGGCATCAATATGTTTTAGCACTGACATGATAGTAATACTTAAGAAAAAAGGAGTAAAGCAGATTCTAGTCCTACAGACAAAGAGATTACGGCCAATAAAGAGGCTACATAAGATTATAAAGCCAGTCACTTGGCAAACTAAGCCTCAAGGTTTTTAGCTCAGAAAATATCAGAGATATTTCCTTAGAACTAGAAGGCAATCTCTACTGCAATGATTTACAAATAAACTTAATACAAATAAAAATAAATTATTATAGGAATAAGAAAGAAAAAAATTACACAGGCAGATCAAAAGTAACCAAATCCACAGAGGAACTGAAGGGAAGACTTTTAGACAATGGTGAAAAGGTGATTTTATTTACTGGCAAGTGCTATTTACAAAGTAAGTAAAAGCAGCTTGAGTGGTTGGTCAATACCAATCCAGATATGGCACAGAAATAGTGTAATGGAAGTGAAGGGATGCAAGGATGGGAAAAGACAGAGGGCTATGTTGTAGGATGCTGATATTAGGGAAGTGCAGGACAAAGAGGTGTCATACGTGTTCTGAGAAGGAAGCAGGCTTCCCTTACCAAGACAAGAAAAATGTGAATCTTGGATCAGCATTTTAACTATAGCCAAAGAGGAAGGTAGGAAATTTCAAAAACAAATAGTTGGTCAAAAGTAGTAGTAGTTCGGTTATAAAGAGAAATGAAGACTTCAAATTATTCTCAGCAATATAACATACAAGTCATAGTTTTCAAAGGTCATCAGAAATGGTAAATTAAAAAACAAGTTTCCTTGTCTTTAAAGGGCTAAAAAAAATTTAAAAAAAAAGACAAGAGAACATGAAATTGTTGGAAAACACTACTGAAAGGGCACTGAAAAGATGGCAAAATTCTCAAAATATTGCATCAAGAAAGTTGGATCCTAAAACCAGAAAAATAATGAAGATAAAATAAAGCCATCAGTTAAGTCAATCTTAAAGGATTCTTCATATAAGTCACAGAGCAAATACAAAAACATTTCAATAATGAAAAGCCTCACTGTTTTGCACTCTTGGGAGAAAGTGGAGTAGGAATATCAGTCTTGAGGAGACTTTAATTTCCATTCAGAATCCTGGTGTGTTAAGTATTGGAAGGTACCTTGGTGTATTTCCTCTCTCCTTTATTTTTTCCTAACAGATAAGGAAACCGAGACCAAAAGAAGCAATGTAACTTTTTGCACAACTTGTGACAATGTGGGCTCTAAGAATTAGCCTCCAGAATCCTGTAACTGCGTTTTTCTACATGGTCATTCACCTTCACTGCTTCAGATTATATAAGGCTGGGCATAGTGGCTCCTGTGTGTAATCCCAGCACTTTGGGAGGCTGAGGCAGAAGGATCACTTGAGTCCAGGAGTTCAAGACCAGCCTGGGCAACATAGTGAGACTCCATCTATACCAAAAAAAAAAAAAGGTTCTATGACTTTCTATGACTATATATATAATTGTCTTCTTCTACAGTACATGCAGAAATATAAGGACTAAGCAGTGGAATTTTGAGATTAAACAGTCAAGGTTTTTGTTTTTTGTTTTTTTTTGCAGAAGATATACAGACAGTATGAATAATAAACACCTTTCTGTTGGCCAGAAGCACATAATAATTACAAAATAAATTATATAAAAACTATGTGGTTCTAGGGATGGAAAGTACTTTAATATGCCCCATTTCAGATGAAGCAAAACCAGAAACATAAGGTTCTCATTAGAGACCTGTAAAACATGTGTTCATTACAACGAAGCAGTTAGTTTGAACACTAATAGTACAAGCCACACTAGGAAGCAAAATGAAAGATTAGAGGCGAGAGCAAGCATGCACTTTTAGATCACAATTTCTTTGCAAATACATGGAAACACATACCCATTTTTCCACATCAACTTGCTGTGGAAAGAAAAAGCCAAAATAAATAACAAACAAACAAATACCTAGCAATGTTTCAATTACTGTCATTTAAATGAATTGATATCAATTTGGTCCTTGCACCACAATCTACTTCCAATTCTAAAGCATAAAAAATTGTATTCAAGTTTTTCATTAACAACATTTAATCTCACCAAACAAAAAGAATTCAGTTAATTTAGCAATCAGAACTCAAAAAGACATTAGGCTGGAAATGCACCAGGTACATAAAATAATGATAATCCAATTTATTTAAAAGCAAACATGAACATTTCTCTAATTCTCAAACGTAATAGGCCTTCTGATTTAAGAACTACTACTCTCCTCTAATTATAAAAACTGATTTAATTAAAAAGATCAATTTAGAGACATAGTGTCTAACTACAGTTTCTCTCATGACACTTAAAGTAAAATTTCTCTTACTCTAATCTTTCTAGCATTTCATACAATTTCACAATATAAAGGCATGCCTTAACAAATAGTTCTGAAGTTATGTGGGAATCAAATTATTTTTTAAAGTTGTATTTATAAGTGAATGTTAGTCTCTTAATCATTATGTGGCTCTTTAAAACTTAAGTGACTATAATCATACCCACACTGTAAACAGAACAAACAAAAAAGCCATATGTCAACAAAGACTGTCTCTACAACGCCCTAGGATTCCTTGCAAATAAATCAGAATAAAAAATTTCAACATTGAGAGACATACTCAATCTCAAAGGTAAGTTTCCTTAACTCACCTCCCATCTATAGAATGTATAATTGGTGTCCTGTGGGAATTGTGGCTTGCTTCACACCCTTCATGTATGAAAGTTTATTTGTAATTTTTTTTCCTTAGAAAACTCATTAATTAGGTAAGAAGCTAATGCTACTTAGGCAGAAATCTTGGGCTATTAGCTAGGAATCTCCAATGCTCTGGCAAGCAAGCTTTTGGGAAGCAATATGCATAAAAAGCAACATACAGAGTGATTATTTCAAAAATGTTATAAAGTGATATTTAAAATATGAGCCTAAATAAACAGGCAGAATTTTATGAAGCCCTAATGAAATCCAATAGGTTACTTGTAACAGAGCATTTTGCCTTCTTTTGTAATTTACTTAGTTTTCAGAAAAATCTGTTCTAAACTTACTTCCTCCTTTGCATTTTACAAACACACTGTTGTTATTTAAGAAAAACACTTGACTGAACAGAAAGGCCTGATTTTCACTATACATTTTTCAAGATATTTTCTTGTTAGATAAAGCTGAAGATCTCCTTTTAAACATTAACTTATCGGAGTGATGAATCCATTCCTTTAGATCCTGGGGCAAACAGAAGCAAAAAAGGCATGTCCAGCACAGTGCAATTGTGCACTTTTCTACCTCTAAAAGGGCGAATTTTTATATTTATTCTCTTCCCCAAAAAAATCTAAAAAAATTAAATGACTTCCTTTTAATATTTATCAGGAAAATAGAATATGCCATATTTTTGGTGCTATTTTAGTGCATATTTAGTGCATATTTTTAGTGCTATCAACGATTATCAAAGACATTGTATTTTGCCATTATCAGGTTCACTTCTGCATGTCAGACATTCACACATGCATACACACACACACACACACACTCCCATCAGTGCAAAGATAAAGTTATGGGATTTTTTCAGAAGAAAGAATTTATAATCAAGAGTCATAGTTACTAATGATAGTAACAGGAGCTCTTTAATGTTCTATATTACAAAAGACACAGTTCTTCAAGGCGCAAGAATTAGGAGCAATAATGTAACAAACAGAATATCCAAATACCCAAAGAAAAGCTTAGCAACAGCATTGCTGGGAGTGAATTATCAGCTAGACACACAAGACAAGACAAATGGTCCACAGGGTTAAAAGACTGACTAACATACAATAAAGTTGTAATTATGCATAAGCAATGCAGAACGATTTCATGACACGTCTCTTGTTCTTGTTGACAAGAATCATTTAAATTCCTGCAAACGGTGAAAAGGAGAATGATTCAAATGGAGCTAATCAAGACAAGGAAATATAAAATTCACAGTAAACTTAACCAATTTTAGAATTTACGCAATTACAAACCCATAAAACATATAAGACAAAGGAACATTTTTTCCAAAAACTTGAATCAAGTATGTGGAATTTTAAAAATATATGTGGATTTTATTAAAGAAAATGACTATTTTAATATCTGCAGGAAATTACATTAAATATCTATCATATTAACACTAATAAAAAGAGCAATTTCATTTCAAAATTTCAAAATAAAAACAAAATTTCCCTTAAAAGAAACAACAGTTATTTAAACACCAACTTGATTTAGCAGAGAGGACATAAGAATCTAATATAAAAGTAATTATTTTTAAATTATATCACTATATGAAAGTCAGATAATTCAAATGACATCTCTATTTTTGCATTCTTTTTTTTTTTTTTTTTTTTCTTGAGACGGAGTCTCACTCTGTCACCCAGGCTGGAATGCAGTGGTGAAATCTCGGCTCACTGTAACCTCCGCCTCCTGGGTTCAAGCGATTCTCCTGTCTCAGTTTCCTGGATAGCTGGGATTACAGGTGCCCGCCACCACACCCGGCTAATTTTTGTATTTTTAGTAGAGATGGTGTTTCACCATGTTGGCCAGGCTGATCTCGAACTCCTGACCTCAAGTGATCCACCCATCTCGTGCATTCATATTTTAATTACAAATTTAGGGCACATAAACATGAACTATTCCATAAACTTTTTTAAAAAAAGTTTGCTTGCTTCTTTCAAATTGATTAACTTTATTTTACTGTTTAAGATGGATAATTCTGTTAAGTTAAAGCAGTTACCATGTGGCAGGCTTTGAGCCATACATTTTACATGTAATCTTATTATCTGCATTTTACATACTAGAAAACAAATGACATATAAATGTATCACACGCAAATCTTCAACAACAAAATAAAATGACACGAAGCTACTAAAGCTACTAAATTTTCTAGAAAGTTCATTATTTTGCCTTTCCCATGAAAGTTGCGACATACCTGGTATTGATTTTTTATGTAAGATGGTAGGGAGGGAGTTAAGAGTTGTCTCCTCACCCACCCTTGTATACCTATCCAAATGACCATTTATTAAAAAATAAATCTTTTCCCCATTAGCACTGCATTGTCACTTACTAATGCATCAAGACACAAATGTACAGATCTACTTATGAACTCTATCCTGCTCTATTTTTCTGTCTTTGTCCTAATACCCAACGGTCTTATTGTAACATTAAAATAAGTCTTGATATCCAGGAGTCAAAGACTCTAACCTTGTTCTTTTCTTCAAAGTTGTATTTGATAATCTTGCTCTTCTTCATTTAGAACTGGCTTTTCCAACTTTCATGCACACTAAAAGAAAACCTGCTGGGATTTTGATTGAGATTGCATTGATCTACCTGATCAATTGGAAGAGAACTGTCATCTTTGTAATATTGAGCCTCCCAATATATGAACATGGTATATTTATCCTTTTTTTAAGGTCATCTTTATTTTTCTCAAAATGTTTCTCAATTTTCTGTGTAAAGGTTTACACATCTTGTATTAGAGTTATTCCTAGGTATGTGTTGTTTCATTATACTAATATAAGTGAAATCACTTATTTTTATTTTGTAATTGCTTTTTACTAGAATATAAAAATATAACTGATATAACTGAATTTTTATAGTGAGCTGTGACTTTGCCAAGCTCATTTTTAATTCCAAAAGTATCCACTTTCCCCAACTTTATTCAACACTGCCTTGAAAGAATTCAATATTTCACCAGTTTTGCATTTGATAGATAATTTCTATCAGTTTAAGTAACTTTTCTTACATGCCGACTTACTAATATTACAATGAATAGGTGTTTAATATTTAAAAATGTTTTATAGTATCTGTTAAAATAAATATTTTTTTATCTTAATAAGGTAAGTGACAATAATTGGTTTTGAATCCCAACTTGGTTGTAATAGGCTATTGAGTTGATATGTCAATGGGATGGATTTCCCAATATTTTAATATTTTGTGGAGGATTTCTACACCTACAGTCCCTGATAAATATTAGTCTATACCTTTTTTTTTTTTTTTTTTTTTTTTGCATGGTCTTTGTCATAGTTTAGGATCAGGGTTATGTTGGCCTCATAAAATCAGTTGGGAAGTATTATGAAAGAGTTTAAGATTGGTATTATTGTTTCCTTATATGTTTGGTGGAATTAACCAGTGAGGCCATCTGGGCCTGGACTTCTTTGTGAGAAGGCTTTAATTATAAATTCATTTCATTTAATAAATATAAGACAGTTGATATTTCCCACTTCTAGTGTTAGGGTTGGTAAACTGTATTTCGCTAACACTATATTGTTTCTAGAATGTTTTAATTTCTTTGGAACAAAGCTAGTCACAGTATTCTCTTATTATCTTTTCATTGTTTGGAGGTTCTGCAGTGATTTCCTATTTTCATTTCTAATATTGTTAATTTTATATTCTCTCTTTTTCGTATTCAGTCTTTCCAAGGGCTCATCAATTAGTCATTTCAAAAATCCAGCTATTGGCTTGAATGATTTATATTTCTTTCTACTTCATAAATTCTGCTTTCTACATAAATTCTACTTCATAATTTCTTCTTTCTACATTTTCCAGGTTTAATATTTTCTTTTTGTCTTCTTGAGATATTTAGATAACTGATTATTCAGTTCTTCTTATGTATTTAGGGCCGAATAACTTCCTCTAATCAGTTTTAACTGTATCCACAGTTTTAACTGTATCCATGTTTTCCACTATTATCCAATTTAAAATATCTTATAATTTGCCATTTTGATTAACTCGTTGATTCATAGGCTTATGGATTTGCAATTCCTTTTGTTACTTATTTCTTACTGAATTATGTGATGAGAAAGGAATACACTCTTATTTCAAACCTTTGAAATTTGCTTATACTTCCTCCATAATCAATTTTGGTAAATGCTCCATCTGCACTTGAAACAAATGTGTACTTTCTCAGCATATGGTGCTGTGTTCTATAAATGTCAATACATATGTTAATTAATCATACTGTTCAGATTTCTATATCCTCATTCATTTATTTGCCTGATTATTGTAATACTGTGAGAAGGATGGTCTTATACATTGATTGTTGATTGAGATCTCCTGATAATTTTGTCAATTTTTGTTTTTATAAGCTTGAAAGCTATATCATTAGATTCATGTAAATTCAGAATTATTTTATTTTTCTTATAAACTGACTTTTTTTAACATAGGGAAATGTCCATCTTGATTTCTCGCAATACTTTCTGCCCTAAATTCTTTCTCAGAGGTCAGAGATATATATATATATATATATATATATATATATTTTTTTTTTTTTTTTTTTTTTTTTTTTTTTTGAGACAGAGTCTTACTTTTGTCACCCAGGCTGGAGTACAGTGGTGCGATCTCAGCTCACTGCAACCTCTGCCTCCTGGATTGAAGCTATTCTCCTGCCTCAGCCTCCCGAGTAGCTGGGATTGCAGGCACACACCACCATGCTTGGCTAATTTTTTGTATTTTTAGCAGAGACAGAGTTTCCCCACGTTGGTCAGGCTAGTCTTGAACTCCTGACCTCAAGGGATCCACTCACCTCCCAAAGTACTGGGATTACAGGCATGAGCCACAGCGCCCAGCCCTTTTCTCAGATATTAACATAGTTATACCAGCTTTCTTTAGATTCAACTTTACCACACATACAACTTTACCATCCTATAGCTTTTACTCTTTCTGTAAGACAGTCTTAAAGTATATCTCTGGTGAGCAGCATACAATTGCAGTTAATAAAATCTGACAATCCATGAATTTTGATTGAAGTATTTAGTCAATTAACATTTAGTTTTATTCTTAAAATATGAGTTTATATTTATTAGTTATATTTATCATATTTTCATATTATTTGTATTATATTGGTCTCATGTTCTCTTTATATAGCTTTATGGAAATATAATTTACATATCATAAAGTTCATTTATTTAAGGTACACAATTTCAATGCTTTTTGGTATAGTTACACAGCTATGAACCATCACCATAATCTAATTTAAGAACAGATTCAGCCCATATGTTACTTCTTTTCCCTCCTTTCTTCCTTCCTTTACATTAATCAAATATCTTGATATTGCATTTTTCCCTCTGGAAAGTTGTTGGTTATTCTTTCTTATTCTTTTGGTTAGTACCCTAGAGGTTGCATGGGCATCCATGACATTTAATAATCTTCCATTGTGATTAACTCTTTCATTATAAGTATAAATTAGTAACTTCACCTTGTTCCAGAAAAAGGATCTTTGAACATGGTTGACAATTTTATACTCTTCCACCTTTTGAGTTATTATCGTTATGCATTTTAATTGCACATATATTTTAAACCCCACAAGGCATTAATACGATTATTTTGTATAGTTAGCATTAATTTACATTTGGCCATATATTTACTTAGTCTTCTTTCCCTCCTGCATTTACTCTTTTCAGTCTGGTATCATTTCCTTTCTGCCTGAAGAACCCCATCTCCTGTATCTAAATTATCTCAATTTGTATGCGTCTGGAAATGTCTTTACTTCACTCTCACTTTTGAAGTATACTTTTATCTGGCTATAATACAGAGTTAGTGATTATTTTTCCTCACAACATTAAAGATATCATGCCTTTGTCTTCTGATTCAACTTTTTCTAATGTGTCATCAGGTATCAGTCTTATTACAGCTTTTAAATTTTGTTCCCTCCTCCAGTTACTTTTAAGATTTTTTATTTTTCTAGTTTTCAGCATTTTTACTATGGTAACCCAGTGTGGTTTTATAAGTATTAATATTCCTTAGGATTGACAGTAATCTTGAATCTCACTATTGTAGCTCCAAATCCATCACAGTTTGGGAATCCAGTTACTCGCATGTTAGATTTTATTACTACAGTTAATGCATCTTTTATGATTTTTTCCCTTTATTCTTAATGTTCTTTTCTCCACATAGGCCAGTCTGGATATTTTCAACTAATCTATTTTTCAGTTCATGAATCCTTTCTTCAACTATGTCCCAGCTGCTGTTAAACTAATCTTCTGAGTTCTTACTTTACTTACTGTGGTTTTCAGTGTTCGAATTTCCATTTGATTTTTTTCATTGTAGATTCCCCAATTGTTTTAAGGTCTGTGACTGATAATTCCAATATCTGGATCACTTATGGGTCTATTTCTACTGTCAGATCTTTTTTCTCTTGATCCTGACTCCTTACATGCCTAATAACACGTTTGACTGCACATCAGATACTGTGTTAAAATTTGTATACAAGCTAATTCTGTTTCTTCCTCCAGAAAAGATGTACCTACGGCTGGCAGCTAGATGATGGGCAGATAACACCAATTCAATGTGAGCTGAGTAGATTGAAGGCAGGTTTTCAGACTTAGCAAGACTTTAGTTCACCCTCTCTCCTAGTAATCATAACTTCCAAGGATTCCAACTGAGAGCCTGGAATGATTATCAAAACCCCTCCTCCTTAGCAACCACTGAAATACAATTTTTGGCCCCCCAGCACAAGATTAGGCCTCATGAGACATTATTAGTATTGTTTCATAGAATCGATAGTCACATCTTACTATACTGCTGAGCTTTTGATCTGCTTTCTGCTAAGCTTCTGAGCTTGTTTCCCAAAGGCTAATAACAGAAAAATGATCTGGAATAGTGGTGCATGCCAGTTATCCAAGCTACTTGAGAGAGGATTGCTTGAGCCCAGGAGTTCGAATCCAGCCTGGACAATGAGACCCTGTCTCGTAATAATAATAATAAAAACGTCACCACCAACAGAGAAATACCTCAAGGGGAAAGCCTCTTCAGAGTGTAAGCCTTATTTCTCTTTTTCCTTCAAGATCTTGTATCCTCAAATTCTGCCTACGTTGTCAGGCCAGAGATTACATAAACTTTGCAGGCTCCTCTGCCTTAATCTCTGCCCAAATGAATACTCAGCAAATGCCCCAAAGGGAAAAGTGGTATAAAAAATGTTAGACCTACCTCAGTGCACTTCTCTTACTGCTGGGATTTAGGTCTCTTCAAGTCCTCGCTACCTCAGAAGTTTCTAATGCCTCAATCATATTTCCTTTTAAATTTAATATATTCTGATTAAATCCTTTAAATTTAATCCTTTTAAAACTTCTGGTTTGGGGGAGGTTTGGGTGTTTTGCTTGTTTTTTGTTTTTCCCACAGCTGGAGTATTAGTCTACTAATAGACTAATACTATTTCTAGGTAGTATTTCCAGGTAGAAATGGAACTATTAAATTTTTCCTCTACATTTTTAAACGAGGTCTGATCCAAACAATAAAAGATTCAAAACAAGGTAAAAGTACATCGTTTCTGGCCTAGATGTTTTCTTCCCAACAAAACCCCAAATCCTTGGTGCCTAGGGATTTGTTAAGTATGTCGTCAAACTGTCATTTAGGACAGAATTAAATGAAATCCACATTATATACTTTTCATTAAAACATCAGCATTTAGATCAGTCAATTACATTTCAACAAGCAGTGAATTCATCCCGAAAGTAGAAAGGGAAAGAAACTAATATATATTGAGAACCTATTATTATACATATGTATTTTTCTTTATTTTTCCCTCTCTGTTTTTTCTGTTTGTTTGTTTTTGAGACGGGGTCTCACTTTGGTGCCCAGGGTGGTACAATCATAGCTCAGTGCAGCCTGGAACTCCCAGGTTCTAGTGATCCTCCCACCTCAGCCTCCTGAGTAGCTGGGACTACAGGTGCGCACCACCACGTCCAGCTAGTTTTTTAAATTTTTTGTAGAGACAGGGGTCTCTCTTTGTTGCCCAGGCTGCTCTCAAACTCTCAGCTTCAAGCAATCCTCCTGCCTCCCAAAGTGCTAGGATTATAGGTGTGAGCCACCATGCCCAACCTCTTTTCCATTTTCATACATGTTTACAAATAATAGAATCACAGACTCACAGGACCTCAAACTGAGGTATCTACCTAAATGTTCACAGGAGCAGACCAGGTACTTTTAAAATGAAAAATACAAAGCACTAAATTAGAACAGACAGACATGACATTAATGTGGGAGAATTATAAATAAAAAGAAAAGCATCTCTCCATACTGTAATATCATATGGGATTATGTACTTTAACGGCATGAGATCACAAAGTCTTTTCTCCATCAGTTCGAGAAAGAAATTTACCATAAGTGTAATTGAGCAAATGAAGCACAAAAGTAAGGCCAGTGATTGACTTAATTAAACATTAGCCCAATTTCCTAACTTTACTCTGGTTTTGCAGTATTAGGCAGAACTCTCCCAGTTTTTTTAGATCTGTCATACAATGAAGCCGACTCAGTACAATAAACTCAGCAATCTCATACACTAACACACATACAACTCAATACAAGGAAAGGGTTTAGAAATTTTATTCTTAAGTATAAATGCTTTCTTTTAAAATTTAAACTAGGTAATAAAGAACTAAGAGCTACTACTTCC
This sequence comes from Homo sapiens, assembly GCF_000001405.40. Classification (NCBI taxonomy): domain Eukaryota; kingdom Metazoa; phylum Chordata; class Mammalia; order Primates; family Hominidae; genus Homo; species Homo sapiens. The sequence continues at coordinate 237,346,471 of NC_000001.11, read as the reverse complement.
TAAATTAATCTTACTTTAGAATAGGAACAGTTCATGTAATACTATTTCAATGTTTTCTGAATTTGTTCAAATCCTCAGGATATGCACTTTTTTTTTTTTTTTTTGAGGTAGACCCTCTCACTTTGCCCAGGCCGGAGTATAGTGGCAGTAGTAGCACTCACTTTAGCTTTGACCTCCCGGGCTCAAGCAATCTTCCCACCTCTCAGCCTTCCAGGTAGCTGGGACTACAGGCACGTTGCACCACACCTGGCTAATTATTTTATTTTTTTGTAGAGACAGAGTCTCGCCATGTTGCCCAGGCTGGTCTCGAACTCCTGGGCTCAAGTGATCTGCCCACCTCAGCCTCCCAAAGTACTGGGATTATAGGTATGAGCCACCGCACCCAGCCTGGATATGCACTAACTCAAAATTATCAATATCTCCTTTCTCTAAGTACAGAATACGTTAAAGTGGCTGTTGCATAAACCTTAATGTTAACAAATTCAAGTGGATGGATGGGTGCTAAGTAAATAATACAGTAAGTCTCTTCCATGGAGGCTACTTATCAGAATTACTAAGTTAAATTAAATACCACAAGTAATTTCATTTGGGAGATAAATAGTCAAGAAGAATAAGAACAATTTGGGGGTCAGGGGAAAAGAATGAGGGGGACTAATCTTAATATTAAACATTTCTAAAATACAGTGATAAATGTGGTATTAGACATAATAATAGATAGACTTTGTTAGAAAATATTCAGCTTAGAGTACCACCTCTAGGAATGTGTATTAGTTTAAATGTATGATTAAAAAGTCATCACAATAAATATAAGGAAAGAAATCATCAGTCATGAATAATGATGGAACTTTTGCTTAGCTAAAATTAATAGAAAAAAATCAAGTTGATTACTACTCTTAAATAAATTCCAGCTCATGTAATACTGTTTCAGTGTTTTCTGAATTTGTTCAAATCCTCAGGATATGTACATAGTACATATATATATTTTTTTTTATTTTTTATTTTTTATTTTTTATTTTTTGGCAGAGTCTCTCTCTTTCACCCAGGCTGGAATATAGTAGCACTCACTTCAGCCTTGACCTCCTGGGCTTAGATCTATTATGAATAATAAATTTCATATAATAAAGTCTTACATTTTAGATCTATATACTATGAAAAACTGGCAGGTACACAGAGGAATACAGAAAAATTTTTACACATTCTAACAAGTCAGTGCATCCCAATCAAAATCTCAGCAAGTTATTTTGTAGATTTTTACAAACTGATTTTAAAATTTATATGGGAAGGCAAAAGACCCACAATAATCACAACATTGGAGAAGAACAAAGTCAGAGACAGACATTATGTAACTTCAAAACTTACTACAGGCTGGGCGCAGTGGCTCACACATGTAATCCCAGCACTTTGGGAGTCCGAAGTGGGCGGATCACGAGGTCGGGAGATGGATTCCATCCTGGCCAACAAGGTGAAACCCCGTCTCTACTAAAAATACAAAAATTAGCTGGGTGTGGTGGTGCGCACCTGTAGTCCCAGCTACTCAGGAGGCTGAGGCAGGAGAACTGCTTGAATCCGGGAGGCAGAGGTTGGTTGCAGTGAACCAAGATGGTGCCACTGCACTCCAGCCCAGTGACAGAGCGAGACTCTGTCTCAAAAAATAAATAAATAAATAAAAAAGACTTACTATAAAGCTACTAGTAATCAAGACAATGTGGTGTTGGTTAAAGAATGGACATTGAACAAAACCATATTCTAATGTAAATAAAATGTATAAAATACATACCAAATAATCACTATATAAAATGAGAGACAAAAATAAGAAAATGTGAACACCCAGTGATAAGGAACTCTACGAGTAGAAATATTACTTCTGGCTGGGAGCTTCATGAAAGTGTTTAAGGAAGACAACTCCTTGGACATTTGCAGAGAAGCGAGGGGTGGTAAACTTTTGAAAGGCTCAGAATTCTAGGTTGAGGAATTAGTGTAGTAAGAATGTGGAGAATATATACCTGAATTAAGTGTAGCATATTCAGGGAGTGAGTTCAGTTTGGATAGAGAACGAATAGTATAAAGAACTAATTGGAGCCAGAAATAAAGAAAGGTTACAGTTTTAGATTCCTTTGTAAGAACTGAGGTCACAGGATAGCAGTTAAATTAGGAACGGTCTGCTGGAGGGACAGCGTGCAATAGTTACAGACAAGTTAAAGACCTAGATCCAAGAAGACATCATCAAGGCAGCCCCCGGCAAAACGCCATGAGAATAATCCGATCATTAGCTGGATTCACCCAGCTGCACATATTTCTTCCTAACCAATGCTTGAATAGTTTCCCGAGGAACTAAAAACCCCTTATGGGGGCCAGGCGTGGTGGCTCACGCCTGTAATCCCAGCACTTTGGGAGGCCAAGGCCGGCGGATTACCTGAGGTAAGGAGTTCGAGACCAGCCTGGCCAACATGGAGAAACCCCATCTGTACTAAAAATACACAAAAATTAGCCAGGCGTGGTGGTGGGTGCCTGCAATCCCAGCTACTTGGGAGGCTGAGGCAGGAGAATCGCTTTAAACCAGGAGGCAGAGGTTGCAGTGAGCCAAGACCATGCCATAGCACTCCAGCCTGAGCAATGAGAAGTAAACTCTGTCTCAAAAAAAAAAAAAAAACAAAAAACCTCTTATGGGGAAACTACATACAAATCAACAAAACTTAAATATCTGTATCATTAGTACCATCCACATCAAATCCATGCTGGAGCTTTAGAGCCTGTACCTCAAGAATCAATAAATGATATAATTAATTTCCTTACATGTCATATAATTGTCATTCACACAAATACTTCTATTCTGGAAACTATTAGAAACAAAACTTCCAGTCCATGACTGTGTAAAGATAATCACTATTTTTAATCGCTGACCTTGGTACATTGTTTCTATTTCTTCATCTGAAAAAAAAAATCACTTATTGAGTGTTTATACACTACAATGCACACGCTCCATTTATGTCCTATTCTGGAAGAGGCCTCTGTAGCAATTCAGCTCGCTCTCACTATTTACTCTACACAGAATCTAGAACGTGGTTACTCATCATATATCAATAGAGTGAACAAATGCAATTAACACCAGCTTATGAAGTATTTAATTTTGCTGGTTTAGCTGCTGTTTCTTCTGTGATCTCTCGTGTTATTTAACTTTCATTTAGCTTTATCTTTGCATTGTCCAATCTCATTCATTGTTGTGTGAGATTTGGGATGCTTTTTTTTTTTGAGACAGCATCTCGCTCTGTCACCCAGGTTGGAGTGTAGTGGCACAAACACAGCTCACCGCAGCCTCGATCTCCCAAGCTCAAGCAATCCCACCACCTCAGCCTCTGAAGTAGCTGGGTCTATAGGTATGCTGGCTATGGCTATTAGCCACCATGTCCAGCTAATTTTTTTTATCTTTTGTAGAGACAGTGTCACCACGTTGCCCAAGCTGGTCTCAAACTCCTGGGCTCAAGTGATCCTCCCACCTCAGACTCCCAAAGTGCTTGCATTACAGGCGTGGGCCACAGCGCCTGGCCTACTTTTCTCTTTTGTCAGATACTGCAAGGCTTTCAATATGTTCTTCTTGTCTCACATATGGCTCACATTTTCCAGGGCTATGGAAATCAGTGCGCGGCAATATTAGGCCCATTCTGTGTGTTCTTGCTGCGCTGCTCTTTGTACTTTTTTCAGTGGTCTAAGGACAGTTCTAAGGTTTCTGGTTCCAGCAAAGGACCCTTCTACAGTTCCACGTGGTCTTAAGACTTAATGCTTCACCAGGAAGTCATGGGTCACATGTGGCCTGATCTCAGAAGCCACATGAAAGTAATCAGTTTGTACTACGAGTACTGACCTCATGCTCACTCTCAGAATGTTCCATCTGGTCTCTGTAATCCTCAAGTTATGTAGATCCTGCTGGTCTTTGCCCTTCTCTCACACTTCAGGGATTACTTGCAAAAAAGTGTATCTTCTCAGAATGTGTGACTGCAACAATCACTAAAGAGGTTGTATGAGTGGGGTGAGGTGGCTCACACCTGTAATCCCAACATTTTGGGAGGTTAAGGTGGGAGGATCACTTAAGGTCAGGAGTTCAAGGACAGCCTGGGCAATATACCAAGAACCTATCTTTACCAAAAAAAAAAAAAAAAAAAATTAATTAGCCAGGCATGGTGGCTTGTGCCTGTGGTCCTGGCTACTCAGGAGGCAGGAAGATCCCTTGAGACCCAGCATTGGAGGCTGCAGAGAGCTATGATCATACCACTGCACTCCAGCATGGATAACAGAGCAAGAATTAACTCAAAAAAAAAAAAGGAAGTTATTTAACTCAACAAAAAGGAAGACTTCTTTTAAGTCTTCAAATCAGAGATGAAATACAAGATTTTGTATGCGTGCATATTATTTGTATTGCCTTCTGTAAATAGATTCTATAAGTTTTATCTGATTCACAAAGACACCATGACTAGGGATAACCATGTAATTTCTCATCCAGACTGGGACACTTTGGACAACGAAAGGGGGAACTAATAGTGATTATGCTGTGACCACAGGTATTAACCTGGACTGTGTCAGGCAAATGAGGATGGAGGATTACCGAACCCAAAAGGTTATTTTCTGACTTTTCCTTTCAAAAACATTCCTTTTCTCCCACAATAGAGAGGCAATTCAAAAACAGCTGTATTTAACAGACAAAAAAGCTCTATCATATGTTCAAAACTGTTACTACAGTAGCAGAAACAGAATTTTTGGTACTTTTCAGCCCCTTGATTTTGGTCTATAAATTCCATCTTGCAGTCCCTCCAGTCAGCAAATATTTCCTTACTACCTAGTACATAACATGCATTGTCTTGGATGTTAGTGGTATAGCAAGCGAATACCACAGACCCAAAGACCTGCATTCCTGAGATTTACACTCTAATGGGGATAGGAAGGCAATAAACAGACCGCGAATACATAGTCTTCAGAAGGTGTTCAGTGCTTTGAAGAAAACACACCAAAAAAATGCAGGAAGGAGTGTTAATTGTTGTTTTTGCTTTTGTGTTTGTTTTTTGGGGAGGATATTGCACCATTGCACTCCAGCCTGGGTGACAGAATGAGACTCTATCTCAAAAAAGAAAAATGTTTGAGAATGGCTGACTCAATAGGTTCCACATATCTTTAAGTCACTCATAAATTGCAGAATAGTTTATTAAGATTGAATCAGAAATATGCCATGTCATTTATTTGCTATCATATGTTTACAAATGAAAATTTTTTCTATTATAAACACACACAAATAGCTGAGGAAGATGTCCAAATTGAATGAGACTAATCAAATAAAATAATCTATACATTTAAGATTCATAATCTAAAACAGTGCCTAACTACGCCACTGTGATTAAATTACATCCTGCTTAAATTGACGTCTTTATTGAGTTTGATGACAGAGTCTGGAAACCACGTCATTCAAATACTTAGAAATATGGAATATCCTTGGCTTCTGAGTAGAAAGTTGTCTTTCTAGAAACAGAAAGGCAGTAAAACTGAAAGATGCATCTTTCAACCACAGACAAATTTCCACATTCACCTAAGTGACAGATGGATAATTGTTGCTCAGTGAATATTTTTAGCTATGAACCCTTCAAGAGATTATAATCACATTCACCATTACATCACTGCATCAATTTTGCAGATGACAGGTAGGTAAATATTTATATACAGAGGCTTTGGACAAGATGCTGGCTAAATATTACATTAATTAGTAAATTTGTGAATTTATTGGCATTATAATCTAATTATTGAAGTACTATTTATGCTTTACCAAGGATGTTCTTCAATAGGTAGGTAACAGAACACAGCCTCTTAAAATAAGGTTAAGTTAGACTAGATATTTGAGAATAGAAGTTTCAGATATAAATAGCTAGTAGCATCGTATTGTCTACAATATAAACACACACTAATCCATTCAGCATTTCACAGTTATGAGGACGTACAAGGGGAGAGTGTTGGGTAGGTAATTAGATCTCTTCTCTGCTCTCTGATTGAACTATTTACTATGAAAGCAGATTCATACCACATTATATTTATCTTCTCTCTTTATTATTAGATTGCTAAGATTCTCAAGAGCAAGGAGGCATTGTTATTCATACCTGTCCCCCTAGCTCCAGAATGCACAAAAGCAACTCAATCTATTTTTGTTGAATGAACACTGTACGAATGAGACAGGTGGAGAATGGACATGCGCTTTCTATTTCTTGGTCATGGAGACACCTGAGCACAGAGTTGGATTTGTTTTCATAGGCAAAGATTTTACTTGTTGGTCCTAGTTTGGCTCAAGAACATGGAGGGTCCCAAATATAAACATTTCCAGTGAAAGCATACAGATGCTAACTATGTATCTGCTATATGATGTAGCAGACAATGTTAGAAATTATCTGACCTTCATTTTCACATGCAGTTCTCTTCCTTCTCCCAATAAAAGAACCTAGTTCTTCAAAGTATCCTTCCCTATTGCCATCCCCATGGTCGGAGCCAGTTGTGCTGGCCCCATTTTCTCTTGCGAGTAAATAAATTAGCTATGGGTGTGTGACAATGGGTATGAGGGAAATTCTGCCAGGGAATTCCTGGGGAAAGTGCCTTGCTTTTAGAAATAAAGAAAGTCAGCTCCTTTTTGTGCCTATAGATGATGTTGCCTTTGGATATCATCCCTGAAATTCCTACAAGGTATCCTGTAATCATGAGGGAAGCTAGCCTGTGAACCAAGCAAACACAGAACAGGGCAAAGAGAACTACAGAAATCTCACCTAGAGCTTGGATCAACTAAATCTGAATCTTCTCTTCCTCTGGACATTTTGTGTCCTGATTTTTTAAAAACCATATATAATTAGGTGGTAAAAGATGACAAGACAGTATATGATTCCATTTATATAATAATATTTTTATGTATAAAGTTATAGATGGCTATATACTAATCTTTTAGCTGTGGTTATCTTAGGGGGGAATGAGGACTATGAAGAGGGCATTTTTATTTTATACTCATATATTACTGTTATAAAAATAAAACATTTCAATGATTTAGAATTTAAATTTAAGTATATTTGCATATTGCATGCATAATAGACACTAATTACTTTTAACAATAGCATTAATTAAAAATAACTAAATAAACAAATGAAGATATATATAAATGCTCAATTTGTTGAGTTCTTATCATATTCCAAGCAGGCATCTTCCTGAAACACAAATAAAACATGATGAGTGTGGTATTATTTTTCTTTGTTAATAGGAGCCTGTTCATTCTTTGGCTATAGTCTCTTCAGTGGCAGGTATCTCTACATTTACACTATTTAAAGTATGGTCACAGTTTTACATACTAATTCTGTATTTTAATGGAGTTTAATTCTGTATTTTACAGAATTAAAATACAGAAGACTTATACAGAGACTTAATGGAGACTCATACAGAGCATATTTGAAAATGGATGAACATCAAGTGTTAAACCTCATTTTTTTCCAGTGAGTCATTAGCCCTGCCATTTGAGAAATTTACTTTTAATAATATACAGAACACAATTTATATCATATGAACTACAAAATTCATCAACTCCTTTTCCTCCACATTACCCCAATGTGCTTTAATGGAAAGAAATCATTAATATAAAACTCAACTAGCGTGGACACAACATTAACTCTTTTCATTTTGATCCTTGATCTATCTGCCCTAAAGCTTGAACAAAAAAGGCTTTACGATGTAGTGCCTCTGAGCAGATACCATAATACCAGAAGAATGAGGATGTAAAAGAAATATGAAGATCTACTGTTGGAACTGTGACCATACTTCAAATACTGTTACCTGACACAGAAGAGACTATAGCCAAAGACTGAACAGGCTGCTATTAACAAAGAAAAATAATACCACACTCACTATTTTGTATTCATGGCTTAGGAAGATGCCTGTCTGGAATACGATAGGAACTCAACAAATTGCATTTATATATATCCTCATTTTTTTAGTTATTTTTGATTAATGTTATTGTTAAAAGTAATTAGTGTCTACTATGCATGCAATATGAAAATATACTTAAATTTAAATTCTAAATCATGTGATTAACTACTGGAAACTCAGAAAACCTTCAGAGAATGAAGCCCGTTAAATACAAAATGTATGTGAATCTATAAATTGGTATGTACATAAGACAGACTGAAATTCCTATTGATCGGTTTGCAAGAAAATCAGGCTCCTGTCAAATCAAAAAGTAGACTTTTCAGTCATTTTTCAACTAGATTGTTCTGACTTCCATTTGATCTTGTCAATAACATCTTACTCGAGCTCAGCACATCCATGATAGGGTAGCCCACATAATGGCACACCGGAACCATCCACATCCTAATCCCTGGCACCTGTGACGATGTGACATGGTAGGTCACTGCTGGCTTTGAGGGTGGAGGATGGGTCACAAGCCAAGAATGCAGGCTAGAAAAGGCAAGGAAACAGATTTTTCCCTAGAGTCCCTGGAAGCAATGCAGTGCTGCCAACACCCTGATTTTAGCCAATGGAGATTGATTTTAGACTTGTGACCTCTAACGCTAGAAAATAATAAATGTATGTTGTTTTAAGCCACCAACTTAGCGGTAACTTGTAAAGGCGGCCATAGAGCAACTATAGCTAGGGGCTTCAGGTAATTGAAGGTTTTATTATTGTGGGTGTAGTTTTGTTTTTGTATTTTGTCCAGAGATTATAGTTATTTTCTTCAGAAGGATCAGATCTGATAGGAGCTTACTCAGGCATACTCAATGCAGAGACCATCACAATGATGACAGCATACTCATAGTGCTTCTTGCATGCCACGATTGTTCTACACACTTTACTTATATTATTTGATTCCCACAACAAAGGGAGATGCTATTATTTTCCCCACATTATAAATGAGAAAATTGAGGCACAGAAAGGTTAAGTCACTTATGTTACCAGGAAATGAACTCAGGGAGTTTGTACTATAATCTATGAGCTTTAACCACTATGAGATAATACACAGATCTTCTTCATCTTTTGCTCTTGCATTTATATAAAATGATCTTAGATGCAATTACTTGTGTGAAATTGGAGCTTCAGTGTTTGATAAATGTACTTTTAAAAAGTAATTTATGGGGCTTCAGTGCTTCACAAATGTATTTTTTTAATTTATTTACCAGTAAATTTAGCCAGTTGCTTCCCACTGCATTTTTTTTTTTTTTTTTTTGAGATGGATACTCGCTCTGTTGCCCAGGCTGGAGTGCAGTGGCACGATCTGGGCTCACTGCAAAATCCGCCTCCCGGGTTCAAGTGATTCTCGTGCCTCAGCCTCCCAAGTAGCTGGGATTACAGGCACGTGTCACCACGTCTGGCTAATTTTTTGTGGTTTTAGTAGAGATGGGGTTTCAACATGTTGGCTAGGCTGGTCTCGAATTCCTGACCTCAAGTGATCCACATGCCTCAGCCTCCCAAATTGCTGGGATGACAGGTGTGAGCCACCGTGCCCAGCCCCATGCATTTTTGAATGTTCTTAGAGTACATGTCTTAAAGAGATAGGGGTTTTATAAAAAGAATGACACAAGTGTTTTATTTAATTAATTAATTAATTTATTTATTTATTTAGAGATGGAGTCTCACTTTGTTGCCCAGGCTGGAGAACAGTGGTGCAATCTCTGCTCTCTACAACCTCCATCTCCTGGGTTCAAGCGATTCTCTTGCTTCAGCCTCCCGAGTAGCTGGGATTACAGGTGTGCGCCACCACACCCAGCTAATTTTTGTATTTTTCATAAGAGACGGGGTTTCTCCACATTGGCCAGGCTGGTCTCAAACTCCTGACCTCAAGTGATCCACCCACCTCGGCCTCCCAAAGTGCTGGGATTACAGGCGTGAGCCACCGTGCCCAGCCAACACAAGTTTTTTACTACTCCACATTCTACAGCTCCATTTTTCATAAAAGCTGGACATGTCTGAGTCTGATCTATACCTCTGTTAATAATTAAGTCATTGTAATATTTTGTACTTTGAAGACAGTACATAATTTAGAAAGAGGAAACATCATTACAGTTTCTTATAAAACAATAAGCCATTTTACTAAACTGAAACATAAAAATCATTTTAAGAATATCTCTGGACATGTTTTGGATTGTCTTCCTGACAAGTATTATTTTCTATTAAAATTTTAAGGAATTGCCTAATGAGCTCAAATTGTTCCTTGGAAAAAATTTTGAAATGATTTTTCTATTAATAGTTTTAATATTACTTCTAATAGTTTTGGAAATGATTCTAAAAAGTGCCAAGAAAATGTAAAGGAACAACAAGTTCCACGTACACAATTCCTTCTTCATGCCAACATGATAATTATATATACTTCTATAACATACATGAAATTATACTATAATTGTTTTTCTATCCCTGCAGTTGTAAACTCATTGATGACAAAAAAACACTTAAATTTCTATACATAGAACCTTTATAAGATATAAGTTACCTTATAAATGTTGAAAAAGCACCAAATGATTAGAATTGGATTTATTTAATATTCATTTCAATATTATTTGCTCATCACAATATTTATAACATTACATTGTGAATTTTATAGATTTTTAAAGTATCATCCATAACTTACATAGCGGTAAACTACCAATACCCACGATCATGAGGATTATATAGCAAATGAATGAATGATCCAAATCATAATCACCTGAATTATAAATGTTAATCTATTACTCCATCAAAGAGCACGATGTAAGGAGCAAAGAATGATTAATTTTAATTTTTTCTCTAGTTCAATCTACAATATTCTAATAATAAAGGGACCCAGTCAAGTGGCCATAAGCTAAAGTTGAAAAGGACAGGGTCCTACAATCCCCCCAGAAATAATTCACCCGAAAGACAGAAAGGACACTCAACGTGTATTTTAAAATACGCTGTCCTCAACAGAATATACAAGCCATATATTGGACTCATGGCATTAAACCAAAGCAACGCCTTTTCAACAGATGATAATTATTATAAATATTATTTGAAAAAGAACTTTCAGTAAATTTCCTGGACTCCAAAACCAAAGCCCTTTCTACTATACTACGTCACCTCTCACTTGATATCTGTGCTCATAGGAGATGAAATCCTTAAATTAACTTTGGCATTACAAATAAAGTTGTGTGAGAGAAAAGTGTCTATCATAATTTTGTGAATTAAGATAAAAGGAATAGCCAAAAGCACAATATTACTTAAATTATGAAACTTTATTAACTACAAAACACATGGAAACAAGCAAATGCTATCATCAACTCTCTATTCTAACACTGCTGCGGCATCATTAAATCGGCAAACTACATGTGCCAGGATTGATGAGAATACTGGGGTCGAGGGGAGGAAGTGGGAACTGGACTGGCTATGTCCCAGAGAAGGAAGAAAGCCATCAAGCCCAGAGAAAAGGCAGTCAGGAATTAATAGCAGTCCAACCCAGGGAGTTTAAAAGTATACAAAAAAGAATAAATAAAACAATAATAACATGCACCATCATTTAATAATTACTAAGCCTTGATGATAAAGTTATCTTTCCCAAAGCCACAGAGCTAACTATGGCAGAACTGGTATTCTCAAGCAGTTCTCTAAGACAATAAACCCCTGTTTTTAACCCTATGCTATATCATCCATACGCAAAATAGATCTGAAGAGCAAGAAGAGCAATACAGAGGTAGATCTGCAAGCGACAAGTTATCCAGAACCACAGAAAACCCAGTGGGGGAAATAGAAAGAACAGCAGAAGCCAGAATGTGCATAGGCAGACGCCCAGAGAAAACGGGGCCAAAGAGATGGTTGCTGCTCAACAGACACCTTCTCCTTCTCGTTGCCTGTGTACTGTCTCCATCCTCAAGATCTGAAAGCTTCTGTGGGCAGCTACTGAGATAGACAGGTCTTGGCCTATTTACTATTGACATGATTTTAATAAGAATAAAAGCTAAATGATAGTCAATGTAATTATATAAATACTGGATCTAGGTCTCTCTTTTAACATATATATATATATATATATTTTAATTAAACAGACATTTTAGAAAATCCACTTAGATGAAATCCTTCAGAATGATTTTGGTGCCACAAAAATATGAGTTATTTTACTAATAGTCACAATAAGCAACTTTTTAGGGAACCAAAACTTCATACATTAGGTAATATTTTCTCCCATTTCATCTTACACATCTTCTTCTGTTATCGTAATGTTCATGATTTACTTTGTCACAAATGACATTGGGAGTTTTCTGCTAAGTTTCCTTAACCATTTTATGAAAACCATGTATTTATTCATGACCCAAGAATACTAGCAAAATGGTCCTTAACCACAAAAAACAAAGGCATGGTTCTAAATGGAAAAATTTTCCTTATCATCAAGTGTGTTTGTATTGCTATGTGCATATAACATTTTGGACATGAAATAGTATAAGTATTGTTTAATTTACTGAATTACGTAAGAAATTAAAGAAGAATTATTAAATAAAAAAGAACAGGGCTTCGTAAAGAAAGTTGATTATGAAAGAGTTGGGAATCAGGGCAACACGAGGTTCTTTTTGACTCACTGTTCATCTGAAAGGAAAGAAATGATTTCTTGAAAATTCACATTACCTTCCTGACACACTTCATCCTAGGAAAAGTGGCTCTTCATTTAAGCAAACTACACATGATTTATTAACCTGGAGATAGTAATTTGATTGATAAAAAAATTCCCCATTAGAGTTCCATAATGAGTGTAAAGGGGACATTATAAGGCACTAGAAAAGATGATATTTGGAGTTCAGAAGACTTGGTTCCTACAAGTGCCAGCAGCATCCATGAGTCACATATCATCAGACATGATATCTAGCTGGTGCACATCCTTATGAATAAAATGGTTAAGTGGAAAATATCTATCCTTCTTGGTAAACAGTTGCTGCCGCAAGTCCCCACAGTGCTCCCTAACCCTGACCACCCCAGGGGTCCTCCAGGACACCCCCCGTTGCTCGGGCTACCTCCAAATCCATAAATACAATAGAGGCCTCCAGAACTCCTCCTCCAACGCTGTGGCTGGGGCTGTGCTCATTAACTGGCATCACCTGTGGCAAGCTAGGAATGAATATCATTTCTGGGTATAATCAAAAATACTCAGCAGTATGAGAGAAACTTTCATTTTTCCCTAATATACGGTACCCCGTTGAGCTATTTGACATTGGTTTCTTTCTAAAAGTTACTAATAACCAGAAATAGGTTTCAGCTTCATGCAATGTGTTTATTCCTTGTAGCAGTTTTTCCTCAAATTATACTTCCTAATTCATGTCTTATGGTAACTATACTGCGCTTTATAAAATAGTGTTCAACACATCACACAAATTACTACTTTATCTGTGATGGAGACATTCTAGAGAGTGAACAATTCAAAACTAAATTCAGCTAAATAAAAATACTTGAGGAGATCCAGAAATTCTAACTAATAAATGTCTTGAAAACATAAATCCTAGAAGCTGGGTACACTGTGGCATGCATCTGTAATCCTAGATATTCCAGAGACTGAGGCAGGAGGATTGTTTGAGCTCAGGAGCTCAAGACCAGCCTGGGCCATATAGCAAGACCCCATCTCAAAAAAACCATAAATCCTAAAACAGTATTTCAAATTACTTCCTATATTTCAAGAAACTTTAGAATTTGCCCAGCCCAACCTCATGATTTGAAGAAGATAAAAGATCTTCTCAAAGTTGTTAAATTTAAAAAACGCAACTTAACAATAAAAAAATTAAATTTATGGCAATTTAGTTCTAAGTTGTTATCTATAAAGACAGATGAAATGGCAAGATGCATTTTTTAAATGCTAATGCCAAATAAAAATGATCTTTCTTTATAAAAGCTGATTTGCATATCAAAGTTGATATGACTCAGGGATGTTTAAAAATCAGGAGGGGTTATTTCAGGTAGAAATGAAACTAAATTGAGAATTGTTTTACTCTTTCATAACTTAAGCATAACTGAGAAGGTTTACATGAAAGAATAGAAATTTTTAAAAGAAACTTTATATATTTTAATAATTTCAAACTTTGTTGTAAACAAAAAATGAACCTGAAAAACTAAAATACTAAGCTTTTGTAAAATAAGCTTCTAGTCTAATATCAAAAGTCACTAAAGTTTCTCTTCCCTACTTAATAGTACACTGCTGAAATTTAATTTAGAATTAATGCACAAATCAACTAAAGTCATAAGCTGCATGACACTAAAATTTTAAAAACTACAAGGCTGATGAAAATAACGTTATAACTGATCACTCCTTTCTATGGATAATCATTTATATATTACCATTTTTTAATCTCTTTATTTATCCAGACCAGAGTAATGATTAATAACAACAGCAACATATAGATCAATAATGGCAAAATAAAATTTTCAGTTTTCTCTCTGGAAATACTACACTTTATTAAACCATACACTGCAGTAATTACCATACCAAAAAATAAAAATTAAAAAACCTGGAAACAAAAAATTTGACCATTAATCCTCCTGCTTAATTCTAAACTTTAATAAATTGGTTAAGACTGGGTAACAGCCCAGATATCAGTCACAGGAAGTCTCATTGAAAATAAAATAACCAAATAGGCTTTGAAAGAAAAATACTTGCATTAGGAAACCACATAACAATTTCAGGGCTGGGCGCGGTGGCTCACGCCTGTAATCCCAGCACTTTGGGAGGCCAAGGTGGGCAGATCACGAGGTCAGGAGGTCAAGACCATCCTGGCCAACATGGTGAAACCCCGTCTCTACTAAAAATAGAAAAAAAAAAAAAAAATAGCCAGGTGTGGTGGTGGCAGGAGCCTGTAGTCCCAGCTACTCAGGAGGCTGAGGCAGGAGAATGGCATGAACCCGGGAGGCAGAGCTTGCAGTGAGCTGAGATCGCGCCACTGCACTCCAGCCTGGGTGACAGAGCCAGACTCCATCTCAAAAAAAAGAAAAGAAAAATTTCAATTTTCAGAGGAGAAGGATTAGCTGTTTGCAAAATTACAATAGCCTAAAGCCATATCACCAAAATTTGGTTACTTAAAATATATAACAGTGCCATGAAATTTTACTTTCCATGAAAAAGCTCAGAACATAGTCACATAGTGACAGACATTTGAAAATGAAATAAAGGTTAATGACAAATAGCCATGCATAAAGCTATGAGTTAAAATAATAACAATAACAGCTCTGAAAATGTAATGAAACACAGAAACGCTCAAAGAAAGGTCGGTTTTAAACAACAGACATAAGCACGAGGCCTAGTGACACAGATCACATCAAGCTTGGATATATTTTTTTAGTTTTCAAGACACCACAAATATGCTAGATAAAGCAGAAAGTCAAACCTAAGGACATTCCAACTGAAAGGCATGGACTTATTTTAGCAAAAAGAAAATCTCTGACACCTGTGAAAGAAATTGTTCCTATAGTAGCTGAGCTCATTAAAATACTACAAGTCTACATAAATTGGGTACTTGCCCCTTCTGATTTCTCCACGGTGTTAGCCAGCATCTCCTGCAGCGCCCGGACAGAGAGGGACTGCTCCAGCACAAAGGTGCAGATGGAGAGGTCTGGGGGCACATTCTGCACAGAAAGAGGAAGAGCAGTCAGCAGCATCATCTTCATCAAGCATCCAGACCCAGCTTACCTTAGGAGGCTCCAGTTTCTTTCATAGAAACAGTATTTGTCAACTTTCTACTGCAAGTTCCCCAGTCATCAAGAAACACTGTCATTACTCCTCATGTTTAATACATTTTAAAAAACCAGAGATAGTGGCCGGGTGCGGTGGCTCACGCCTGTAATCCCAGCACTCTGGGAGGCCGAGGTGGGCGGATCACCTGAGGTCAGGAGTTTGAGTTCAGCCTGGCCAACATAGTGAAACCCCATCTCTACTAAAAATACAAAAAGTAGCCAGACGCAGCGGCACAAGCCTGTAATCCCAGCTACTCAGGAGGCTGAGGCTGGAGAATAGTTTGAACCCAGGAGGCAGAGGTTGCAGTTAGCCAAGATCACACCACTGCCCTCCAGACCTGGCGACAGAGCGAGACTCCGTCTCAAAAACAACAACAACAACAAAAACACAGATAACAACAGCTGCCATTTATTGAGCAACAATAACAGCTCTGAAAATGTAAGGAGACACAGCTTACTCTGATACGCATTGCCCTGGGAGCTGTATCTATAATTCCTGTGGTCATCTATAGTAAGGATTATTACTATCACTCGTGTGAACAGGATAAACAGAGAAGTTAGATTCCTTTTCCAAAGTCACAGAGTTATAAAATTTTCACGCTAAGGATTAAAATCCAGATTTCTCTGACTCTCATACATTCATTTCTAACTTACCATTCAGTTTGCTGATAAAAAAATTAAAGAACAGAAAAATAATAGTTGTCTCAAATTAATATTAAAGATAAGCAAATATAAAACTGAATTAGTATAAAATATTCCCAAACACAGGTTTCTCCTTATCCACAAAGTAGCGATTACTTTGTTTTATTCAAGTTGGATGCTATATTTTGCCTCTAACTTGGTCCTGTTCTGTGTATATCTGTATTGCTTTATTTTTTCATCCTCCATCTGTTTTCTTTTTTTCTCTTTCTCTTAAACCGCTATCTCAATCAATACACCACAGATTCTCAAAATCACAACTCAGGAGGTGAAGGAACCAGGATAAGAATTGACTGGCTGTTCACGATTCAGGTGATGGGTGCACTAGAAGCCCAGACTTACCACTACACAATATATGCACGTAGGAGAGCAGTACTTGTCCTTCCCATATATTAACATATATATGTTTTAATTTCTTTTTTTTTTTTTGAGACGGAGTCTCACTGTGTTTCCCAGGGTGGAGTGCGATGGTGCGATCTCGGCTCACTGCAACCTACACCTCCTGGAGTCAAGCAATTCTTCTGTCTCAGCCTCCCAAGTAGCTGGGACTACAGGCATGCACCACCAAGCCCAGCTAATTTTTGTATTTTTAATACAGATGGGGGTTTCACCATGTTAGCCAGGATGATCTCGATCTCTTGACCTCGTGATCCGCCCCACCTCGGCCTCCCAAAGTGCTGGGATTACAGACATGAGCCACCGCGCCAGGCCTTAATTTTTTTTAAATATAAAAAAAGGCACATGGCTGTAGTCCCAACTATTCAGAGGGCTGAGGCAGGAGGAATGCTTGGGCCCAAGAGTTTGAGGCTGCAGTAAGCCATGGTCACACCACTGTATGAAAACCTGAGTGACAGAGCAAGACCCTGTTCTCAAAAAATAAAAATAAAATTGAAAAAAAGGAAGAAAATTCAGTTTGGATGATTAAATTGTGAATGCATTTCTTTCTTTTCTTTCAGTTTATGGAAATGTTTTCCAATAAATCATAATAAATAATGAAAAAGAACTGATTGGTGAGTTAGAACCGTAAGTTATTAATCATGTATGCTTTCGCTTAGACAAGCAGGATCCAGTATGCAGTCCAACCAGGTACAAGCAAATGTTCAATGGAGGATCTTCATATCAGAAGAACATTACAAATACATTAAACACAACATGTAAGCAAGTTACGCTTTCTTCATAAAAAGAACACTGGGAGGATAAATTTGATAAGCTGATGCAATGCATCCACATTACAATTTACACTGTTTTAAGTTTTTATTAAATTGAACCTCTACCATTGGAATGATTTTTCATCACAGCATAAAATGATGCTTTATGGTTACAAGGAAAAATCAAGTACTAGAGTTCTCAAATTAAAGCTAAAATTATTTTATGGATAAATGATGCCCACAATAAGGCCACAAAGCTTACTCAGACCACACAAACCCCACTGGTTCCCATGTTTTGTTCTGTTTTGTTTTTTTTTTTTAAATAAAATTTCCTTCTCTGGCTTCTGCCATCCTCCTATCATGGGCTCCTGTTTACCCAACCCAATCACTTTCCATTCCTGCTCAGACAATTTCAGCCAGCAAAGAGTCCTCTCAAATCTGGCACAGCTAACTGCATTTAAAGTCTGCAGTTGGCCAGACAAGGGCTTTCTTTCTAAAATCCTCATATAAAAGTTCAAAGGCTAGGAAAAGGACTCTCTTCTACTCTGGAATTTAGGAATACATACTCTTAAATTTCATTTTTAAAGTTCTAACCATACTAATTATAGTCTGTCCTCTTGAGATCAAGACAAATGCTAATGTAAAAAAAACTGTTAATGTAAGTGTTTATTTCATTTATATCCATTTAAAATGTGAGGGCTTATACTTTGGCACTGCTGAAAGGGCGCTATGTTATCAAATGGTGTGCTGGTGAACTGACTTGAAAAAAAATGCCTTGATTTGTAGCATTTGCCCATTTCTGTGGTGTAAATACTCCAATCACTGCTGATTTCAAAGTATCAAAGTTTACAAATTGGCTTACAAAAATCCAAAATATCTAACAATCAACCCTTGGCAGTGTCTAAGAGCTGTTTCCAGCGTGCCATTAGACTGATTTCAGACCAACATTTATTAATTGCTTTAGAATCAGCATATCCTAATAGTTAAGAGCATGGATTCTATACACAGACCACCTAAGCAAAAATACTGGCCTCATTACTTATTAGCTGTTAACTTTTATAATCTTTGGTTTCCTTCCCTAAAAAAAATTGGATAATAATTATACCCTTCTCATAGGGTTGTTATGAATAAATGAAATAATATATGTAGAGAGCTTATCACAGTGTCAAGAATATAAAAAGAACTTAAAATAAGTGAGCTATTATCATTAGTTTTGCATATTGTAATTCCTCTCCATTTCTGGAAATGATGAAGCACCACTTGTTTCTTAAAATCGGTTCTTGCATGGATTCTACTTCGCACAAATAGTGTTTGAAAACACAAATCTATAATTTTGCACCTGTTCATAACATCCAAAATGTTCCAGTATTGTCAAGAAAAGACACTTTCCGGTAACATTTAAAACTTCATATTCTGGGTGTATTTAAATTGTTTCATGCCTTTGCTTAGATCAAAATGTTAAAGTAAGGATTGCTGTAATATCTCATGTTATTTTAAAGATCCTTGAAAACCACATGGGTTTCAAATGAATTAATCCTGTCAAATGAATTTTATTTTTCCACAGAGTAATGAGCCTGCTACAGCTATTTTTTCAGATCGTGGGAGTTAGCATAAATAAACACGCCAACAATCTTCAAAGGCAATTCCCTGTGTCTTACAAACGCCACCCATTTTGTTCTGAGTCATCTTCACCATGCTTTCTCTTTGTACCCAGCTCCCCCTACACACACAAATGTAATAGAAAAGCTGAGACAGTTAAAAAAAAAAATAGTGTTTACCTTTCAGGAAAACTTAATACACATCAGAGATTTGTAGTGTTGTCTGTTTTGCTCTAAAGAAAAATGATCTAGTTATTTTAAACAGAATCATCAGCATAATTTGTACCTTTTAAAGTCAACAACTAAAAGTATTTCTTCATTTAGATGTCTATTTCTTCAAATAACATTGAAATTTGTACAGTTATACCCATGGTAGCATGTCAGGCCTTTGTTCCCACTTCCCAAAAATAAAGCAGCATCACTGGAAAATAAAGGGTCTCATTCATTCATTAAAGATCAGCTTCAATAAATGGCCCCGAACCAAAATGACTCCTAATGCCAGGAATGGAAGATAAGGTAAAACATTTTACAAACATGGGGAGTAGAGGCTCCCATTTGCAAGCATTTGAAAATTATCATCTTTTCCTTAGTCTTACTTTGTTTTTGCTTAAGTCTTATTACTGAGACAGTTAATTTTTAGAACTTCAATGTGAAAGAACGTTCCTTGCCCTTACTATGAGTGTGCTCCCAAATCATGAGAACTTTCATATAGTACGCTCTGCATTATAAGTGCTTCGAAATACTCAGATCACATCGGAACACAAAACCAAAAACTGCAGTTGAGCATGTTTACCTACCCGCCTCTTACACATTACATATGGCGTTTACCTGTAATGCAAAATTAAATCAGAGAAAGAGATTCAGTCTGTCTAAACATCTGTGTCTGTCTATTCTACCCAGAATAGTGCCTAAAGCAAGCTTGCAGGAGGGTAATAATACTTTTCATATGGAGACAACACCGATTTTATCAGAATATATATACTTTGGGAAAGGTAACAGACTTTAAGCCAGCAGCATGGCTGTGTGCCTTTTCTTGTTTCTTTTTTTTTTTAAATACAAACTGGTCACCATCCTCCCCTGCCTGGCAAACACTGTATAGTCTTAGAGGGGGAAAAAAATCTCAAGAATAACCACAAAGCAGCATCTGGCTTTGCTGGCTCTGGAGAGGCTATGTAAAAATCAATTAGGTTTCCAACCAAAGTATCCATCAACTACTTGGCTTCCAGAGTTGTATCTGCCTAACTCACTTAAAAACCTACTGAAACATGTCATTACCTTAACTGAATAACAACCAATAATTTAGGACTATATAAGCCACATTAAGCCACCATCCTTCTCATTATTATGTGTAAAAACTGCATACTAATAAACTACTCCATTTCACATCCTGATGCCTTTGCTTATATTTTTTTCTCCCTCGGCGTGAAGGTCCCCACCTATGCACACTATTTCATATTTTTAAATCACACATAAAATCACACATAAAAACATCTCCTTGTAGGGACGTCAAACAACACTGGAAAACTGAAAATTCTCTTTCCAAATTTAATTATACTCACTTTCCCTTTATAGTGTGCATATTTCCAGTCCTTTTTCTTTTTTTAATATATTTTTTGTTTTGTTTTGTTTTTGTTTTTGAGACAGAGTCTGGCCCTGTTACCCAGGCTGGAATGCAGTGGTACAATCTCGGCTCACTGCAAGCTCCTCCACCCACGTTCACGCCATTCTCCTGCCTCAGCCTCCTGAGTAGCTGGGACTACAGGCACCCGCCACCACGCCCGGCTAAATTTTTGTATTTTTAGTAGAGATGGGGTTTCATCGTGTTAGCCAGGATGGTCTCGATCTCCTGACCTCATGATCCGCCTGCCTCGGCCTCCCAAAGTGCTGGGATTACAGGCCACCACGCCTGGCCTATTTGCAGTCCTTTTTCTATGCATTTACATGTATACATATGCTATGTATTCATAGCAGTAGAAACATTCATGGCATGTAGAAATATATAGATTAGCTTTTTCCATTAATGGGTTCACGCTATATAAATTACCATTTTTAAATTTACTGATATATCCTGGAGATCACTGTCTGCCAGCAAAGATATTTCTACTTCATTGGCATGACTGCCACAGAATCTAGATACACCATATTCCTGCTGAAGATTAATCAACGTGTTCTGCCACGCAACACTGTCACTCAGCTTGGATCCCACTCTACCTCATGACCACCGCCACCACCAGCAGCAGCCCTAATACAATGACTTACACAAAGAAAATGTTCGATGTTTGATGAACTAACCTCAAACTATGATTTCATCTATTTCTGGAAAATCAAACAGATGCACATACACTATAGGGATACAGGCAGTTAGAGCCCTAATGACAAATCTGCTTTTGGTTGGGCTGTTTTGTTAACACTAGGTTTCCAGCACAAAAGCAAACAAGTTAATTATGCTTTTCACACTGCCTTTCAATTGGGCTCCAAGTGACCTTTGACATAACACAGGTATCTCAAAATGTATTTTGCAAATGAATGATGTAGTTAATGTTGACAGTTTGACAGCAGTAAATCCCCGTACCAGGAACATGGAATTCAGATCTCATGGGTAACTAGCCAAGATACCTCAGGGGAGTCGGGCTGAGCTTCCCTGCCTATGAAGTGGAAAAATACTTATCCGACTTCAAAGAGATCGAAAGAAGAAAATCAATGCATGATAACCTGGACAATGCCAATAAGTTATAATTTTATCTGCCTAATTTAAGAAAACCCTAAATCAGATTGAGAGCTCAGAATCAGAGAGATATAAATTAAGAGAAAAGCTGTTCTTCCACCAAGAGATGTGAAAACAGTATACTTTAAAACAGAGCAGATGGTCTGAAGTTGAGGCAGGTTTGTTTTTGCTTAGGCGCCCATCTGCTGTGTGGCCTTCAGGAAGGCACTGTAACTGTTGAGTGTCGACTTCTCCCCAAATGATGGAGATATCAAATTCTATGTCCTCCGAAAGATAAAGTGGTGGTTGTTGTTTTAATTTACCAACTAGAGACATGAACCAGGCAAAATGTCACTTACCAGATGGGGAATAATATCCTTTAAAATGTTTATATATTCTCCAGTGACAAAAAAAACCATGGTGTTGTATCCCATTGACTCGTAGGAAATACTGTAGAAAGGAAGTAACAGGCAAGATCTAAGAAAAATCTTAGTTCACTTTTTCCTCTTTACATTGCTTCAAAACCCCAATCATAACATTACACCATGTTCCTAGTTTGGAAATATTATTTCCAGAGCTTCACACCTCTGTTCATAGTTCTGGGTAGTTTTTCTTGTCATGTTCTTTTTCCCTTCATCCCACTTTGCGCCAGAGGTTAACATTATTGCCTCCAAGAAGGAAAGATTTTTCCTGTGTCAACTCATTCGTTCAGGTCAGCTTTTTGAAAGACAAGGCTAAATGTGATCCTAACAAATGAAGCTGATGTCTCTGGGTTTTCCCCGGTCTTAAATCCTTTGAATCTTCAGAAACACTCAAGTCATTCCCTTGGCATTCTTGCCAATAGAAAGGTCCAGGTGAGAGAGGATATAGCAGCACGTTTAAATGAGTGGTAATTAGCAGTACATTGCGGCTACAAAGACCCACAGCTGTGCCAACTTAGCAGCTAATTATGAAAATCCCTAGTGAATTCGTAGCATCCCATATGGTTTGCTCGGTGTTCATTTTGCTCCTTGACATGCATCTTTCATAATACAACATCCTTTAATATTAAGTAGATAGGCCAATTCATCTGATTTTTACAATTATTTTAAAATTCAAATGACTCAGACGTGTCAGTGCAAAACTAGAAGGTACACTCATTGGATGAACCATTCCATCATACCTCTCTAATTCTAATGTTGGCTTACATCACATCAGCTCACATATATCTTGAGAGGGAGCCATTGTTGATGTGCATACAATTACCTGGAACTTTGCAAGCAAACCACTCAAAGACAAAGCAGAAAAGAGACTTCTGCTATGAATTGAGCCTCAAGATACTATGTATCTTGAAAGTCATATATGCAAACTAATGGTTCCTCTGATGTAGGTTCCTGCCTCTCAACATTGCTAATTCAAACTCACTTCAGGCAGACTGGTTTCTATCTTTTTATTCATGATAAAAAAAATCACAATCTCAATAAAAGCTCCACATACCAACTCTCTGGAAAACAAGTATCCCGAACAAGTATGTCAGAATTATGTTTTGAAAAGTGGAGCTCTAGGTTGAGAAATCTACTATTTGAAGAGTTATGGAGTCTTACTACTAAATTCAGAGTTTAGAGATGTTTGAATAAATGTATGAATAAATGGACGAATAACACACCACAGAACAAACATATAAATGGAAATATTTGAAACACTGTTGCAGTTCCTCTAGCCACGAATTACTTTGGAGCACATTTTCACTCTTTCCTCAAAAAAGGTTTTTTTTTTTAAAAAAAAATTAACACCACACACACACACACACACACACACACGTGTGTGTGTTTATTACGTATGTAGGAAATATCCTACATGTTAGCCTATTCATGATAACAAGGATCAGCAATAACTAAGACAAAAATAGTGTATGAGCTAAGTATTTGTTAGTCACAAATACTTGTTATTTGCAGTAATATCTCAGCTTTGCCGTCTGCAGGATCTCAGTAGACCACAGATTGAACACACTTGATAGAGCCTTCAGTGAACATTTCTGATGAGCAACAGTGTTGTCTCTAGGGAGTTCTGTGACAGGGATATTTTGTAGAATCCATTCATAGGTTTCTTGCCTGATATAGTATCTGGGACAAAAAATATCTTTTACAGTAACCAGGTCAACTTAATTGTCTGGAATATGACCTTTGCCACAACAGCCATAGTTCCTTGTCTCATGCCCTCCTTGAAGAAGGAAAAATAATTCACACAAACACATAGATGAGGGCAACCAACAGATTCCGACTTGTCTAGAGTTTCACAAAAGTCAAAAGGAGAAGAGAAAAGCGAAGACAGTAAGTATGGCTTCCACAATTAAAGTTGTGTAGGTGATAAGATGATGTCTTCAAATTCAATTAATTATGTAATATAGTGCAGATTCGTTCAGGCATAACCATACAAATACCAACCATCTCACTGTTTGCAGGTGTCTCATTCTCTGAAAATGAGCTGGATTAATTTCATCTAAATTAATTTGAAATGGCAAGAGCTAAATTAATTACTCAGTATCAGTTTGAACAAATCAAGCTGAAATCAACTCAGTAACATTGAAACTGTTCTTATAAAATTAATAAAATTAAATTGCTAGGTTTTTCAATAAAAGCATACACTTTGAGTAGAAGCATAGCTAAGCATTAACCAGCCTGCCCTATAGTCCACTTCCTTATAGGTACTTACTGCTTAAAAATCACATAGCCCCTGTTACAAGGTCCTTATTTCTGTAGATAACATCCTTAACATTAAGAAGCCTCATGTTTCTCATGTTGAGATATTTTCAGATCCTGTATTCCACTGACACCAGCCAGTCTGAAGATCCCCTCTAAAGAACTTATTCAACATAAGAATACAATTTATGACTTCATCCCCACTGCCCTAACTAATCAGCAGCCCTAAGCTCCTCAGCCCTCTATGTACCAAAATCCCCTTAAAAATCCTAGTCCAGTATCCCTCTGGGAAGAGGATTTGAGGTTCCCTCCCACCTCCTCATTTGGTTGCCATTCAATTATTAAACTCTTTCTCTGCTCCAAAGCCCACTATTTCTGTGTACTGGTCTGTTATCACTCAATGACATCGAACCTAGTGATCCTCTACCAACATCCTTGGCCCACTTTCCTAAGTTGTGTTTAAAACACATAAATTCTAGTCACAGAAGTATATCGGAATCATGTTCTGGGAAGTTGGGCTCCAAGTTAAGAAATCTGTTATTTAAAAAACAATGAAGTATAATAAAATCTAGAAACTCCAAGCAGACTCAGACTGAGACATTCAACACCTTGGAATTCTTGCCAGGAATTGTACTAGCATGAAATTTCTATGCA
The DNA here is from genome assembly GCF_000001405.40 of Homo sapiens. NCBI lineage: Eukaryota > Metazoa > Chordata > Mammalia > Primates > Hominidae > Homo > Homo sapiens. The sequence continues at coordinate 237,321,288 of NC_000001.11, read as the reverse complement.
GTTTCAAGAATATAAAAAAATGTAGAGACAATTATACAAGTAATAATAGCTATATCACTTTTTAAGGGTCCTCTTTGTGCTAGGTCCTAATTCTCATCATGAAATAAGTATTATTATCCCCACTTTAGAAATGAGTAACCAGTGAATCAGAAAACTGAGTGACATGCCCTAAGCCAGAAACTATTAAAAGACCTATCTGCTTAGCCTAAAACTCATACCAGACTGCCTTCCACAAGGTCATATCAGCCTGCCTCCCAGTTGTTTTCTTTTTATTGCCCTGTCCATTTGTGGTAACATTTGTGATTGATTTAAAAAAAAAAAAACCTAAATGTGACAGTGAGCCTGCTCTAAAAAAATCACACACACACACAGAGAGAATGGAGTCATGAATACCCCATACTCCACGACTTTGGCTTAAGGGCCATTTTAGAAGCTGGTAGCCTCACATGAGCTCCTCTGGGAATGTACTAGCAGGAGCAAAAGTGCTGGAAGGCAATAATACTGTGATCCTGTCTGGATGGATGTGCTGTAGATATATTTAAATACAGAGGGCTTTCCTTTGCTGACTGCAGGTGAGTCACCACTTCCATAGGAGATACAATATTTTCTGGTTGAAGAATCTTGATGATAGAATTAGATATGGTGTAATTAAACAACTAGGTCAGGGTATATACCTTTGGATATGAGGCCAAGGAATGTTATATGGAACTGAAACTAGAGCTGTATTTGTGAGATGTGACTCTGACTTAACAGCAGGTGATCTGGAGGTACTTCAGAGTCCTATTAATCTTTACAGATGATAAACCTATAGTTGAAGCTAATGGAACACAAAAAATACAGTAACCAAAAAGTCCATCTCACTTAACACATAATTTGGCTCTGAAGGAGTTTATAGGTAATACAAAGAAATCAAAGAATATTTTTGAAAGATAACTCTAGAAGCTGAGCACCTGATAAGATACAGCCATAACATAACACTTTTTTATGTTGAAGGATCAATTCAGGATAGATAAAAATATTTATACGCTGCATTTTTTAAATAAATTATATGCACCTCCCCCCATGACCAAGTGAGAAGGTTGGCAAATCTTCTCCTTAAAAAGCCAGCTGGATAAAATTGACAAAAATAACACTTTCAGAGCTGTGGAAATTAACCAAAGGCATACAAAAATATAAGAAACTTTTATGCTTAAAAACTGCCACAATTTGGGTAAGAACAGTAAATCTGTGGTGTTCTTTCCTGGGCTACTCCCATCTCCCCACAGCTCGACTAATGTGGAGGTTCTACCATGTCATGACATGGGCTAGCTGTGAAGACCAGTAGCTGTGCCACCTTGTCAAAGGGAACTCACTTGATTTGGAGCAGATGCCATGCACACTGCACCATCTATGAAAGTGACACATCCCAGGGAGGTCCAACAGATCTGCTAGCACACACCTGGTGATCCTCTACCAGCTCTAACTCAGTATATTTTTGACTGAAGTTGCACATGCACAAGAAAGACACCTAGGAACCAGCAGGAAGTAAATCTTGGTAGACTTGAAAATGACCTGAACTTCTTATACATTTCCTTATCCACGGACAGGTTGGCTGGTAGAGGACTAAAAACTTACTCCTCAAAGTGTCTGAGCACAATCTCTGTACCATCATTACCTGAACTCTAAGCTATGAAGGAATAGCAAAGTCTCTAGAAAGCTAGTCTTAAAATAAAAATAAGAATAATTTTTTTAAAACATTAAGCAATGACGTTATTGGCCACCCATCAAGGAGAGACATGTCACAGACTCAGCTCAGACAATTTACTAAACAAAGAAAAAATAAAAAAACCCAGCAACAATAACCTTCAATAGAGACATAAAAGAATTCAGGGTTGTTATATTATCTAAAATGTCCAGTTTTAACAAAAAATTATGACACAGACAGTAAAAGCCCAGGAAAGTGTAACCCATTCTGTGGGGAAAACATAGTCTTGAGAAACTCTCTGAGTGCCTTGACAAAGGCATTTAGCAGGTAAAGGCTTCAAGGCGGCTATTATAAATATGTTTAAAGAACTAAAGGAAAGCATGCTTTAAAAATTAAAGTATGGAAACAATGAATCAACCAATAGAAATTATCAAAAAGGATGCAAAAATTACAAAAATAAATCAAATGGAAAATCTGTATTTGAATACAATAACTAAAATAATAAATATACTAAAGAGGTTCAATTGCAGATTGAAGAAGAATCAGTGATAGATTATCAGAAATTATTCAATCTGAAGTACACAGAAAAAAAAATCATTGACAAAAAAATGCACAGAGCCTCAGAAACCAGTGGAATAACGTCAAGTACATCAATATACGTGTAATGGGAGTCTCAGAAGAATAGGAGAGAAAGAAGCGGTCAGAAAAATGCATTTAAACAAATAATGAATGGCCCCAAACTTCCAATTTGATGAAAAATATTAGTTTACACATCTAAGTAGCACAATAAACCTGAAGTAGGATAAATACAAAGAGATCCACACCCAGACACACTGCAGTCAAATTGTTTGCATGACAGTCAGACAAAAATAGAAGTATTTAAAGCAGTAAGAGAAAAATAATACACATCCCATCAAATGGATATATGATTAATGGCTGACTTTTCATCTGACAAAAGAGAAGACAGAAGGCAGTGAGATGACAAAGAACCAAAAGAAAAAAAACCTTTCAATCAAGAATCTCATATCCCATCTTTCAAAAGATGAAGGCAAAATAGACATTTGCAGATAAACAAAGACTGAGAATTTGTTCCTAGCACAGTTAAATACAAAAGAAAGTTCTGAAGGAGCTTCCTTCAATTCCAAAGAAATAAATAAAAAATGTCAGAAATTGAAAATGTGTGGATTAACATAAAAGACTGTAAAAATTTTATTTCTTAACGTCTTTAAAAGAGATAAGAATGTATAAAGAAACAGTTAAATAGTTATAATAGTATCTTATTGGGTTTGGAACATATATGTATGATGTATGGGTGTATATGTCACAAAAAAAGAGTATGAAGGAAGGGAAAGGAAATGAAGCTATGTTGGAGCAGGTTTTCTATCTTTTACTGGAATTAAATGAGTATTATTCTGAAGTAGACTGTGAAGTTACGATTTTAGATGAATTAAAATAACACATATTGCAATCCCCGAGTACATAAGAATTAAGAGCATAACTCAAAAAATACATAGTAAAGAAATCAACAGAGGTTTCAAAATGGCACACTATTCTGCACAAAAGAAAGCAAGAATGGAGGAATACAGGTACAAAAAATACAGCAGGCATATGAAAAAACAACATGGCAAATGCAAATCCAATTATATCACACAAAATATGTATGTTCTAAACATTCTATCAAAATGTAGAGGTTGTCAGGATAAAAAATATGATCTAACTGTATGCTCTCTATAATAGACACATCATAGATTAAAAACTACAAATAGGTTGAATGTAAAAGAACACAAAAAATGCACATGATGAAAACATTAACCGTAAGAGGTGAAACAGCTACATCCAGTCACACAAAAAAGATTTTTAGACAAGAACTGTTATTATTGAAAGTGAAATTAGGTCATAAAAGAAAGGAAGGAAGGGAAGGAGAGAGAGAGAGAAAAAAATGAAAGGCATCCAGATTGGAAAAGAAGTTAAACCGTATTTCCAAATGTCATGATTGCATACATTGGAAACACCAAGTAACCCACCAAAAAACTACTGGCCCTAATAAATGAGTGTAGCAGGGATGCAACATATAGATCAATACATAAAAATCAGCTATCCTATATACTAATAAGAACATCTGAAACATGGAATTAGAAAAACAAGAACACTCATAATAGCATCAGTAAGAAAATAAATTATGTCTTCTTTAAATAATCAAGACATTGAATATCTGCAACTATGTTTAAACTTTTGTATCATTTCCCCATCAGGATGGTTAAAGTCCTTGGCTAAAACTCAGAAGAACTATATAACTAATTTTGACCATGTTGACGTGCCTTTGAACAGATCTTACCATTAAGTGAAGACACTTCTGAGGTAGAGTTATTCGGTTTTGCTTTGACTAGCTAGTCAAACAATGCAAAACATTCTTTGCTTTTTGCCTATATATACACTGTTTCTTTGAATTGGAAGTTTTGCATTTTAAATGAGATGGACAACACTGATTTCAGCTCAGGAAATAAATAAATACTCCTCGGTCCACTTCCATTTACTTTGAAGCACAATCATCAGCCTTTTGTGGAGGTGGGGAGGTAGGGTTCTTTCCAATAGTCATGGAAATGATCTAAATTTAGAAAATGCCTACCAGTCCTTCTGTGACCCACACGAACCCCCTTCACTCTAAGCTGGGGCTGCAGTTTCTCTCTGGCACAGTGAATTGGTTTGTGGTTGTTGGTCATCCAGGAAGTCCACACAGACTATACCAGGTCCATAAAAAATAGGAACAAGATGATCAGACCTCTGTCTCTTATAATAATAGTCCCAGGAAAGAAGCAAGTAAAATGAACATCTTTAAAAAATAAAATACAGCTAAGAAGAACCTAAACTAGGGAAAAAATGAAATGTGATGTAGAGTATTCAAGGGAAGGGAAAAATGGATTTGAAAACTAACTGGACACTGAGGGTAAAGGAGGAACTGGAGATTGATCCATAGTTTTAAACCTGAAACAACGCACAGATGGTGCTGCCATCAGCTGACGTAAGGAACACAGGAGGAGAAACAAATTTGAGCAGGAAGATAATACATCTGTCGAGAGCAAACACATCACAGTATGTGGGTCAAATAGGGTGAGGAAGTCAGAGCCTTTGGATCTGAAACTAAGATATCACCAGAGATATTTAAGGAAACAATTTTAGTAGAAGGGGAAGAATCTATTTCAAAAGTGCTATAAAGGATTGAGTTTTCTGTATCGTAACAATAACAGATGTAGAATGACAATTTAAGAAACTACTGCAAATGGAAGTATAAAAGTATCTGAAAGCCAAGAAATGCTGTAAGGTGTCATTAATATATTCATATATATTTTTAATTAAAGCATCAATGTCCTAAAGAAGAAGCTGTAATACCCATATCTGATACTGGAAATCAAGCAAAAACTCTTTAAACTCTGACATAAAAGGGAACTTTAAATTCAGTTTCTCAATGTAATTTCTAAAATTAGTTGTTTTTATTTTACTTGGTAATGTTCCTAATCGTCACACCTGATTGTCTTCTCTAATTTCCTAGATGTCATCTCTCTAACCTGATCCCCCTGCCCCCATCTCTTCATCTCCAGTCCCTTCTACTTATTACCACCAAATTAGACTTCCCTCAAGATCACGTTAGACCTGTCAGAGATTTAATAGAAGAAAAAAAATCCCACTGTTTAAAAATTTAAGTCCAAACTCCCTATCTGGTATCTTAAATTTTTGGTATAAAGTTTGGACATAATGGTTACTATTAAACTACACTAGATAACTCTGCTTTTCACAAACACATTTTCATTTCTCCCATTTGTCCTTTGTCCAATTTCTACCATCCCTCAGCTCCAAGCTCAGATATGGACTCATCCATGAAACACTTCTTGATGACTCAAACTGCCTTGTATTACACATATTTATGGACAACATATTTTCCACCTGACTTTATAAGCTACTGGGGCTTTGTGATCCTCCACAGGACCTATTCACTATGGATTTTGTTAAATATTCTTCATTGTTGCATGTGTTTCCTGTTCAAAGTATATTACAGAAAAACCTAATTTTTGTGAAAGGACAACACTTATCATCTCATTGCAAATGGACCACCAAAAAATATTTGTAAATAAGCCCTAAGAAATACTTTTAAACTGAATTATTTAAAAATAATAACTTATATATTTAAATAATGTAGATATGATTTTTCAAGAGTAGATTGTTAAAATAATGTAAAAACTTGATGATGGTCTAAAAATTTTGGTTTATGCTGGTTTTGAAAAAAAACATAGTATCTTCAGACTCAAACATTAAAATGTTAAAACTATCTTGCACAGAATTTATCTGCATTATTTCAGAGTGCAGCCTTGTAGGAAATATACACCCAATTCGTTCACATACAGGTAGAAGCTTGGAGTTAAGGGATGGCTTAGAAATTCGACAAAGGACAAAGAGGAGAAAGAAAACACACATGTACTCATCTTATTCATTCACATGTAGGTTACTAACCGGAAAGATCCACTGGATCTTTACAGGAGTCAAATTCTTTGGTGAAAAAATTACATACTTCTAAATTTTATTTTTTTGGCAAATACCATAATAGAACCTAATGGTTTCTGTTAGTTTTGATTCTCATAAAGAGATTTAATATTAATAGTATAATCCATCATTAAAATAATCAGCCTTCTCTTTTCTCCAAGCTAATCCCAGTTTATGTTAATTTCATTGTGCCACAATTTATGGCAATAGTGGTTCAAGAATGAATCTGGTAAATGTCTGGTGCCTGCTGAAGTGCATTTTTGTTAAACCAATCTCATTTCTTGAAGAAACCAAATTAAATATCTTTAAGACAGAGCACTAGGACACAAAGACAAGTGAGGAGCAAGCAATATAATATATCACGGACTTCAGGAAAGCCTTCATCTCTCCTCAAAAGAACATTCTCATCTTCAAGCATTTAACTGCTCAACCTTCTTCAATTTACGATGCACCTGTAATACTAACCACCTTAAATAGCTCATGTTCAATTGATATGTGCTCAATAAAATGAACCATTTCTTTGTCATAGCATATACAAATTCAGATTAGCAACCTGAGCACCTGGAAGGCTAGTACCACTTTTTAACCCATGTTATTTTAAACCTTTAGCTATAAATATATTTTAAAAGAGAGCTTCTTCTTAAGTTTTATTTTCAAGGCTGCCTAATTGAGATATGTGAAAGCATTTTTGCCTTTGAAATTCATGTTGGCCGGGCATGGTGGCTCACGCCTGTAATCCCAGCACTTTGGGAGGCTGAGGCAGGTGGATCATGAGGTCAGGAGATTGAGACCATCCTGGCTAACATGGTGAAACCCTGTCTCTAATAAAAATACAAAAAATTAGCTGGGCGTGGTTGCGGGTGCCTGTAGTCCCAGCTACTCGGGAGGCTGAGGCAGGAGAATGGTGTGAACCCTGGAGGTGGAGCTTGCAGTGAGCTGAGATTGTGCCACTGCACTCCAGCCTGGGCAACAGAGCAAGACTCCATCTCAAAAAAAAAAAAAAAAAAAGAAATTCATGTTGAAACACAAAGCTTTTTTTTTTTTTTTGCTGAGTTTCTAAATTTGATTCTGCCATTACGTTATTCATGTAATCTTTCAAAAAAAAAAAAAAAAACACCTGAAAATGTTATTGGAAGTTGAATACTAGGATCTGGTCCAGAAACTCATGGAAATCAGCAAAATGACAGCCAGCCAGCAAGTGAGTGAGTGAGTAAATAAATAAGTCAATAAATAAAAAACAGGATGCTATAAAACATCTAAGGTTACTTTCAGTAACCCCTAGCAAAAGCATTTTCATTAAGTTAGAAACTAAAGTAGAGATAATGGTCTTCAAATTTCTTTTCCTACATACCTAGTATTATTTTCCCAACATTGCTGTAACAAGTTACCATGAACAGTGGCTTAAAACAACATAATTTTTTTCTCTAACAGTTCTAGACATTAGAAGTCTGAAATTAGTGTAATTAGGCTAAAGTAAAAATATGATCAAGATTGATTCTTTCTGGAAGCTCGCCAGGGAGAATCTGTTTCCTCACTGTTTTCAGCTTCTAAAGGCTTTCTACATTCCTTGGCTTGTGGTCCCTTCCTCCATCTTTAAAGTGCATCACTCCAACCTTTACTTCAGCCATTACATCTCCTTCTCCTCTTCTGCAGTCAAATCTCACTCTGCTTCCCCCTTATAAGCACACTTGTGATTACATTTAGAGCTCACCCAGATAATCAAGGAAAATCTCCCCAAAATCCTTAACTTAATCACCAAGTCCCTTTTGTCATATAAGGCAACATTCATAGGTTCCCTGAATTCGAAACTGGATATCTTTGAGGATAATTCAGCCTACGACATACTCCATAAGCAAATATTTGAACACACATTTGCAAAAAGGAGCATATTAATAAAATTATTTTAACTATATCTGTACTTCAATACTTACATATCTTATTTAAAAATTAAAATTAAAAATAAGAAAAAATGTCTACATTTTATATTTTAATAGAACAGATAATATTTTGCTTGAGTTATGAATGCTATGCAACTGAATATGCTTCATATCTTATATTAAATATCTTGTATTAAAACTTTGTGAGTCAATAATATAAAGGACTGGCTTCAAGTTCAGTCTATCTTGGTGTTTTGTTTTAATGGTCTTCAAAGGCCGAAAAAGAAAGATTACAAAAATGTATAGACACAAATGGAAAATGACTCTTATTTTTCATTTTAATCCACCAATTACAAAAAGATTTTGTTGCAATTCAGGTAGCAATAGTAAATTCCAATTTTCCCTATGGTCACTAAGTTCTTACAAACTAACCACATGACATTTCACTTTCATATTTCTAATAAATATTTCAAATCTCATCTAAGCTCTTTATTTGATTAGGAAATTCTGCTTTTAAGTTTATAGTCTCCCTATGTCACAGATTTTATACATGATGTGTTTACATCATTTTCAGTGACATATTTGTATAATGAGAAAACATATCCAAACATTCATTTCAAAATATTCTCTCCAAGGTAAGGTTACCAGAAAGCAGGTAGTTTTTCATTGTTAAAAATGTCATCTTCGCCCTGGAAATATCTCCAAGGGAGTACGCTATAAAAAGCTCCAGATTATTACTGCAAGTGCGGGACACTTAACTTTTTGTAAAATTCATCATTTGAAGTACATGGCCACAAGATTACAAGAAGACAGTCCACAGTAAAGTCATTGCACATCTCATTATAAAATACTATTCAGATTTTATATTCAGGTTCTAACATCTCTGCGGCAACAGCTTGCCTATGAAATAATGAATTCCACGGAAGGAGCTAGTTTTGTGAACTTACCTGGGGATTGTTATTTTATTTCCAGTCAAGCAGCCAACTCTATTAGTGGTTATATTTACCTATTTCTCTTTATGAACACCCTTCATAACCACCTCCCCCAAATCCTTGCTTTTACCAAAGAATTTGCTCACTCCTGACAATCTATTGTCTCTATGTTTCCTTCAGAGCCTCATAAAAAGTAGCTCTTCAAGATTTTCATTCTTGAAACAGAATCAGTGCAATTCTATAGTCCATCTCCCAGTACCGAGTAATTTTCCTAATACTTCTTTCACATATTCAGCAATGTTGTCCACATGTTTTTTAAGAATATTTACTGACATAGAACTGCAATATAGCATGTGATAATATGGTTTCTCAGTATTATTTCAGCCACTTCTATGATAAGAGTAAGTGTTTTCCCAAATGACTATGACTTTTTATCTTCCACTATTAAGGAAGACACAAAAGACAGTTCTAAAGATTTTTTCAGTCCCGACAATGGTGGTTCGCGCCTGTAATCCCAACACTTTGGGAAGCAGAGGCAGGTGGGTTACTTCACCCCAGGAGTTCCAGACTAGACTGGGCAACATGGTGAAATCCCAACTCTACTTAAAAAAAAAAATTAGCTGGTTGTGGTGGCACACACCTATAGTCCCAGCTACTCAGGAGGCTGAAGTGGAAGGATCACTGGAGCCCAGGAGGCAGAGGTTGCCCTGAGCCAAGATCTTGCCACTGCACACCAGCCTGGGTCACAGAGTGAGATCCAGTATCAAAAAAAAAAAAAAAGGATTTTTTCTCAGGTCATTGCATGTCATATCATACTCAAACTTCATGTTCTAAATGTTTAGGTTTTAAATGTCTCACTGTAATGACTTCACACTGTCATCAGTTTATATCTGAAGGCACAATAGACCCCATAAGATAAGATTTGTAATTAACAATAATGTAAATTCATATATACCTTCCTGATAGACTTGAATGTTTTTGAGCTCATAGTGTAGCTGGCAAAGTATTTGTGTTAGAAAATGGAGAAATATCAGCTTTTATGTTTAGATTTTCCCCATTTGTGTTTACATAACCAGTATAATTTTCAACTTGTGTATCTCTGCAGAAACTCTTAAAGCCAACTATTTTTTGAGTGAATTCAGATAGAACCAGAATACTTAATAATAATATAATCAATAATGATAATGCTGACACTCAATTAGTGCCTACTCTGCCTGTTATTGTTTTAAACACTCACCATCTAGTAACTTCATCGGGAAGTTTATATAGGATAGATACCTACTAAATTGATATTTTGTCACGATATGCTCAAATCAAGGAAACCCTAACTGTGAAACTTCTACTAACAAAATATCTTGTGTTACTTAGACAACAAATTATGGTGATGTGTAACCAAATGTCATTCAGACCAACTGAGGGAAAGAGAGTCAAACTGTGTAGTAAATATTAATGAAATTTTGTTTCTTTCTTACCTATTTTGGATAAAAATAATATATAAAGAGATATTACATTATTGTAAACCAAAAAGTATCTGAGACAGGACTCAATCAATTTAGAAGTTTATTTTGCCAAGGTTAAAGACACACCCAGAAGAAAATGACACAGAATCACAGAAACAGTCTGTGGTGTGTGCCTTTCTCCAAAGTTGAATTCAAGGGCTTCAATATTTAAAGGGGTAAAGTGGGCTGGAGGGGAAAGAGGTAGGGTATGGTAATCCACAAGTTGCAAAAGAAAAGGATCAAGTAGGATAATAGTCAATTACATGTTCACAGGTAAATCAGCTGTTTACCTAAGACAGGTGAACATAAAGTAGCTACCTGTGGAGATATTTAACCTTTTATCTGTAGCTATCTGCTTAGGTACAAAAGGAAAGGCAGCTTCTTGCATGACTCAGCTTGTAGTTTAATTTTTTCTTTTTGGCAGAGTGAATTGGGGACCCAAGTTTTTATTTTCCTTTCACATTATATTCCCACAACCCACTGAATTGCTTTGAATCTACAAAAGCAGTAGATACCATTAGTATAATACCTACAGTAGTCATCCATTCTCCTAAATAGCACAATAATGATATTGTTACAGAAAAGCGCTCCCAATCTGAGAGGTGACAGCGTGCTGGCAGCCCTCGCTCACTCTCAGCACCTCCTCGGCCTCGGCACCCACTCTGGCCATGCTTTAGGAGCGTTTCAGCCTGCTGCTGCACTGTGGGAGCCCTTCTCTGTGCTGGCCGAGGCTGGAGCTGGCTCCCTCTGCTTGCAGGGAGGTGTGGAGGGAGAGGTGTGGGCAGGAACCAGAGCTGCGCGTGGCGCTTGTGCTGGTGAGCGTGGGCTCGGCGGGTCCCGCACTCGGAGTGGCTGGCTGGCACTGCCGGCCCCGGGCAGTGAGGGGCTTAGCACCTGCGGCAGCAGCTGCAGAGGGTGCACCAGGTCCCCCAGCAGTGCCAGCCCACCGGTGCTGTGCTCAAATTCTCGCCGGGCCTCAGCTGCCTCCCCGCAGGGCAGGGCACGGGACCTGCAGCCTGCCATGCCCGAGCCTCCCCCCGGCCATGGGCTCCTGCGTGTCCGAGCCTCCCCGACAAGCGCCGCCCCCTGCTCCATGGCGCCTGGTCCCATCGACCGCCCAAGGGCTGAGGAGTGTGGGCACACAGTGCGGGACTGGTGGCAGCTCCGCCTGCGGCCCTTGTGTGGGATCCAGTAGGTGAAGCCAGCTGGGCTCCTGAGTCTAGTGGGGAATTGGAGAACTTTTATGTCTAGCTGGAGGATTGCATACACACCAATCAGCACCCTGTGTCTAGCTCAAGGTTTGTAAATGCACCTATCAGTGCTCCGTATCTAGCTAATCTAGTGGGGACTTGGAGAACCTTTATGTCTAGCTAAGGGATTGTAAATACACCAATCAGCACTCTGTGTCTAGTTCAAGGTTTGTAAATGCACCAATCAGTGCTCTGTGTCTAGCTAATCTAGTGGGGACTTGGAGAACCTTTATGTCTAGCTAAGGGATTGTAAATACACCAATCAGCACTCTGTGTCTAGCTCAAGGTTTGTAAACACACCAATCAGCACCCTGTGTCTATCTCAAGGTTTGTAAATGCACCAATCAGTGCTCTGTGTCTAGCTAATCTAGTGGGGACTTGGAGAACTTTTATGTCTAGCTAAGGGATTGTAAATACACCAATCAGCACTCTGTGTCTAGCTCAAGGTTTGTAAACACACCAATCAGCACCCTGTGTCTAGCTCAAGGTTTGTAAATGCACCAATCAGTGCTCTGTGTCTAGCTAATCTAGTGGGGACTTGGAGAACTTTTGTGTCTAACTCAGGGATTCTAAACGCACCAATCAGCACCCTGTCAAAATGGACCAATCAGCTCTCTATAAGACAGACCAATCAGCTCTCTGTAAAATGGACCAATCAGCAGGATGTGGGTGGGGCCAGATAAGGGAATAAAAGCAGGCTGCCCAAGCCAGCAGAGGCAACCTGCTCAGGTCCCTTTCCACGGTGTAGAAGCTTTGTTCTTTCACGCCTTGCAGTAAATCTTGCTGCTGCTCACTCTTTGGGTCTGCACTGCTTTTATGAGCTGTAACACTCACCGCTAAGGTCCTCAGCTTTATTCATGAGGCCAGCAAGACCAGGAATCCACCAGAAGGAAGAAACTCCGAACACATCTGAGCATCAGAAAGAACAAACTCTGGACACACCACCTTTAAGAACTGTAACACTCACCGCAAGGGTCCGCGGCTTCATTCTTGAAGTCATTGAGACCAAGAACCCACCAATTCCAGACACAAATCCAGATCCAAGGGAGGATTCTTAGATTTCATGCAAGAAATAATTCAAGGTGAGTGCGCAGTGCAAAGCAAAAGCAAGTTTATTAAGAACGTACAGTGGTGAAAGGGCAGCTACTTCATAGACAGAGTAGGACGTTCCTGAAAGTAAGAGGAGGAACGTGTCCACCCTAGGTACAATGCTTGTATATATGGGGAGATGTGTTCTGCTCCAATGGTTTGTGATAAAGGATTAATTTTCTTAATTACTATAGTTTGCAAGAATCGATATTATTATCTTTAAAGCAAAATTAGGAATGCCATTGTTCTCTAGATATCAGGATATCTGGACACTCCTAAGTCTGGGTCTGTTTAAACATTATTAATTTTTTCCCTTAACCATAATAAACATCTAGAGGGTAGGAATGCCTGACTTTATGAGAATGCAGCGCAGCAAGTTCCGGCCTCATTTTCCTAGCCCTCAGTCAAGATGGAGTCTCAGCAAGTCCCGGCCTCATTTTCCTAGCCCTCAGTCAAGATGGAGTCTCAGCAAGTCCCGGCCTCATTTTCCTAGCCTTCACTCAAAATGGAGTCGCTCTGGCTCGAATGCCTCTGATAATATTATGCAAACTTTATTGCACAATGTTGTTATTGTATACTTTAAAAAAATATTAAGTACAGCAAACCGAAGGCTCATACTTGAAAGGCATCTATTAATAGCCCAAATTAACTTACATATATGTAAAGTCACAATAAACTGGGTTTAGGCCTGAGAGCCATAATTTTCAGGATCTACATAAATATCATAAGGAATGGAACAGACTCTAAGGGTCAAAGCACTGAATATTTCAGGAGCCCTGAAGTTTCACAGAATGCTAACAAATATGAAAAACAAAAACAAAACTCAAGTTAGCTTGATAAATAAATGACAAATTTCAAAAAGTAGATAAGCCAATGAATATATGTAGAAGTAAAATCATACTGAACATATTACAAAAGGAATTACAGAATTATTGTAAAAATTCTACTTTTTACAATAATGTACAATAATGTGACTATCTCATACTATAAAAATCTAGACTAGCATTCCTTGTTCCTTTTCAGTTTAAGAACATCTGTGAATTCACAACTGAGCAAAGTGCTTAGTTCATGCTAAGCACAATTTGTCATGCTGTAGTTAGAAGGAACTGGATTAGAATCCTGGTTCTGCTACTCAGCAGCTATGTGATCTGGAGTAAATCACCTACACTCTCTAAAGTTTAGATTCTTCCTCATGATGTAAAGAGCAAGTGAAAAAACGTATGTGCAATGCCTTAGCAGAGTCTCTGATACACCAGGTGCATGTAAAAAGTGGTAATGACATTATCATCCTAGAGCTTTTACGTAGAAAAGAAAATACAAGCTCAAATACAGCCCACGAAATGGGATCTTGTGACAGAGGACATATAATGGAGAAAATAAGCTAAATATGACTCATCGAGGTATTACAGTTTTCTTAGGAACAAGTTACTGAAAGTAGTATAAGTACGTACCCGTAAGAGTTAAAATCAGCTTTCTACTAATTAAATTGTATATTTGTGTTACAATGAATCATCATATTAAGGAAGAGGGGATACAGTAGAAACGATGAACTGAAACTCAGAAGGCCCAAATAAGGCTTGATTCTACCATTAAAAGGACTAATTCTTGTTAGGTTATCTAACCTTTCATGCCCCAAATTCTTCAAGATGAAACCAGCAGACGACGTAAAATTATTTCTAAAGTTCCTTCTAGCTCTTTTTGGTTACATCCTTAACAAATCTACTTCTGTGGTTTTTTAATGCCACAAAGACAACTTAAATCATGAAAACTAAAACCCACACGAAAAAAGTCAAAGCTGATATCAGGAGAAAGATGTTTATCACACAAAAGGTCAAATAATTATTTAAATGTCAATAATATAAAGTACAGCCTAGAGAACAATGTTGACTGGTTATTTTCCATTCTCATTAATATCCAAAGAAATCAATTTAAATGTCCTCAAAATTTTTGGATGTGCATAAGTGAAACTTGCTATCATAAATAGATTAAATGATAGAATAGTCCATAGACTGCATACACGAGTATTTTAAAATAGTGCCAGATTACTATCTGTCATTGATTGCTAAGTCATTGACCAATCCAAGGATAAAAATACATGAACTCATGTATTTGATGTTTAACAGGCACATAGATTACCTTTAGGCCACAGTAAAATTTACATTTTGTGGCTGAACACAAGACTTCTTTGGATTAATTTTTAGGATGGTAAACAGATAGAAAATTATTAAATGGTATTAATCCTATCAGCTACCTATATGATTATTTAATAATCTAGTCCTAGTAAGTATTTTCTTTCTCTTCTCAGTTTGTCAATCATTTCCTTATCTATATACAAACTCTTCTGCTTATTAATGAAGCATTAGTAAAATTGTAGTTAAGACATAATTTTTCATGTATTGCCAACATTTCTGTAGGCTATGTTCAGAGTTTGCAGACTGAGTCCAAACCAACATCTTCTAGGCCCTCATAGTTTTATTGAAATACCTTTGTATCATATATTCCAAAATATGTATGTAAAGAAATGCATATTTTAAATAAAATTAACACCCATGAGTCCATCAACCAGGTTGAAGAATACAATATTATGAGTAATTTTGGAGCTTTCTGTGTCTCTCCACAACATTCTCCTGTTTTTCTTTATAATTTTACCACAAATTTATGTAGACCTACACAGTATGTTATTTAAATTTGTTGGCTGGGCACAGTGGCTCATGCCTGTAATGCCAGCATTCTGGGAGGCCAAGGCTGGTGGATCACCTGAGCCCAGGAGTTCAAGACCAGCCCAAGCAACATGGTGAAACCCCATCTCTACAAAAAATACAAAAATTAGCCCAGCTTGGTGGCGCATGCCTGTAGTTTCAGATACTTGGGAGGTTGAGATGGGAGGATCGCTTGAGCCTGGGAGGTCCAGGCTGCAGTAAGCAGTGATTGTGCCACTGCACTCCAGCCTGGGTGACAGAGTGAGACCCTGTCTCAAAAATAAAAAATTTGCTGAGTTCTGCCCTTTATATAACTAGAAACATAAAATATGTATTATAAAGTGTATATTCTTCTGTAATTCTTTTGGTGATGCAATATTATATTTTTGAGATTAATCCATGTGGATGTGGACTCCTGTGGCCCATTCATTTTTATTGCTCAGAGTCATCCGCTGCATGACTATAGCTCAATTTCTTCTGCAGTCTGCTGCTATTTCCAATTCTTTCTCCCATCAATACTGCAACAAATACTCTTATGTATGTTTCCTTGTGCACGTGAGCAAAAGTCTTGCTAGAATATATACCTAAGAGACAATCCTAAATTACAATATACGCGTATCTTCAAATTTACTAAATAATTACAGTTTGCCAAAGTGCTTATACCGTCAGGAGTGAGTGAAAGTTCCTCCTGCTCCACATTCCAATCTGTGAAATGATACCTCGTTGTGCTTTTAATTTTTATTTCTACAATTAATAATGAGGCTGATGTTTTCATATTATAAATGATCATCTGCATTTCCTCTTCTGTGAAATGCATCTGTCATTTTTTCTATTTGGTTGTCACTTTTGTATTGATTGACCATAATACTCTATGTATTCTAGATATTTTCAGGTCTTAAATTGTATGTTTTGGTAAGTAACAAACCAAATAATAAAACGGAGTTTTCCTTAGACAGTCTGTAGTTTTTGCTTTATTGTTGAAATGACATTCATATAAAGTTCATGGCTCTTGAATGGATGAAATGATTCTCCTTTCTATCTATATGTAAGATTAATACATATATAAATAAATGCCAAGAGAAAACCTTCACCACCTTTCTTTTGAAAACTTGATTCCATGCTCCCCACACCCAGAAATGGAAGATGGCATAATAGCTTGAGGACGCATAACAACATCAATAAGTAGCCTTTGAAACAGACGGCCCAAGTGACAGCTCATATATGCATCTTCTGGGCACTGAGTTTACGTACAGAGATTCAGAATAATCAGAGATTTTCCTCTTTAAGAGCAATTTACATTTGTGTAGCTCTTTCTGTATTTTCAGTGTAATTTGCATATTTTATATGATGTTCAGTTATAATGGATGAGGAAATAGAATTATTATTGTCACTTCAGAACTCAGAAAACAAAAGAAGCTGAAGGGACTTGCCAAAAATGGGATGAGCTTACAGGCAAGTCTAGGGCTCCTGATCTCTAGCCAGCAGGCTTTCCTCAGCACTAGATTGCCTTCCAAGGTAAGAAATGAACACTGTCAAAGCAGGGGAGATGACATTTTTTTAAAGTCTGACTCATCCATGTAGTCAACTTGTACCTACTGCTTATAAAAGAATCATATCACACTCAGAAATCATCCTATTGCAAAGCTGGGCCCATTAACTGCTGAGATGGAATTACAGTAGAGTGATCTGTATCTCTCCATACCACTCATTCTCTACTAAGTCAAGATTTCCCTGAGACACAAATCTCTTACACCCGACAGAAAATTTACACAAAAAAAGGAAAACAAGGCTGTGGTGGTTGGAATTACTGAATTATCTGATAACTAGGACTATCCAGTTGGATAAAATGTATTTCTTGGATTTGGCCTCATGAATCTGTATTCTCAAGCAATAAGATAATTATATAAAGTAAAGCATCCTCCAAATGTATTTGAGTTATCACTGAGGCAGATGTTAAACAACTAGAGAAAACCTCTCAATGTGATTGCAAAGACTGTCACAATTTATATGATTGCCAGGACAAAGTGAGAAAAAGGTACATATGTATATTTAATATAATGAATTCACAAGGTTTTCAGGTAGTATAAACATAACTATTTTAAAATATTAAATTTTAAAGGATAACCAGCTGGGCGCAGTGGCTCATGCCTGTAATCCCAGCACTTTGGGAGGCCAAGGCAGGCAGATCACCTAAGGTAAGGAGTTCAAGACCAGCCTGGCCAACATGGTGAAACCCCGTCTCTACTAAAAATACAAAAATTAGCCAGGAGTGGTGGCGTGCACCCGTAATCCCAGCTACTTGGGAGGCTGAGGCAGGAGAATCACTTGAACCCGAGAGGCAGAGGTTGCAGTGAGCTGACATTGCACCACTGCACTCCAGTCTGGGCAATAGAGCAAGACTCTGTCTCAAAAAAAAAAAAAAAAAAAAAAAAAGATAACCGCAGAGCTATCTTCATATGAATAGATATAAATTATTAACACATATACCCTTTAGAACTTTAATAACCAAAGCAATATGTTATCAGGAAAACTGGAAATTGTTATATACATGCAATATCATGTGGTTTGTGACCACGTGTATAAATGGCAGCTATATGCCAAAAAAGACAAATACTCGAAGAATGGGCAAAGGGTATGAACAGGGAAAGGTCAGCCTCACCACTAATCAAAGAAGTACAATTCTTTCAAAACAGAGATCTTATGCCTTTCAGATTAGCAAGATTTTTCTTATTTTGATGCCCAGTGCAGATGTAAGAATGGGCAAATGGATGCGTAGAAACACAGCTCAGAAGATTGTAAACTATTCTGAAGGGCAATATGACAGTAAATATCAAAAGCCCTAAAAAGTACATGACTTTACCCTAGAATTCCATTTTTAGGAATTTATTCTAAGGCAATGTTGAACAGTGTCCAGAGATATTTATTTCATATATGAATATTCACTGTAGTATTGTTTATAAGTAGAAAAAAAATGGAAAACAAACAAATACATAAATGATAGAGCTGGGATTTTAGCTGAAGGTATTCTGGCTTCCATGTCTGTCTGATAAATTTAGATTCTATTCTCTTAGCCTAACAATGTTCCTGTTATTTCCTAAGCCTGTAAGAGCCAACCTAAAATGAAGGTAACTTCTGAAGGATATGCTTAGCTCACTCTGTAGTGAGAGGAATATCCTGTATAATTCAGGGACACCAGTTTACCAATACAACTAACCTATTCTAGGAACTGGTTATAAGAATGGACATTGTAAATATATCAAGGCTTGTAATGACTCTCTCACAATCTCTTATTATAATGATTGTATCTTTCGTCTAAATTCCTAGAGTTCTTAAGTTCAAAGGGTATATCCCTATTTGAATTTTTTACCATAATTGTGAGTCGCACTCGTATGTTTCCTATCACATTAAAGACTTATGTTAAGCCATTAAGGTGATGGTAAAGGGAAGCAAAATATGTAAAAGTTTCCCATTTTTAATTCAGTGTTTGCTTGTTTGACAGAAAATAAATGTATGAATCAGTAAAATAACAGAAAAGCTTTTGAGTGGAAGTTTGAGGCTTGGTATTTTTAAAAATATGTCATTAATGATCACTCTAAGTTTTATGAGTGCAGTGAAAACACATATTGCAATAATATATTTACACATTCACATTTCATTTAAATTATGTCTGAATTCAAGTAGTATGGGCCAGAGTTCGTTGTTCAAAGAGAACAGTGTCAAATAATTTGATAACAATATTAGCAACAATTACACAATTATACTGCACCTGAGATTTTTCTTTAGATCAATGGGCCTTAACAGGTGAGGCTACTGGTTTTATCACACGCACTTTAACTCTGGATAGACAAATAGGGTCAGTTTCATCTCTAGCTTTTTCTCTCTAGCAGAAAGTCACCGTCTGGGAGCCACAGTAGAGTGAAAACACTCTGGTCAATGATAACTCTTAATTCTACCATGCGAATAAAGAGGAGGGAAAAGAAAAGGCAAGCACTTTAACTCTGGATAGACTACAGATCTAAAGTCATTATTAGATTGCTTTTGTCTTTTGTTCTTAGAAAGACACAAAAGTCATCATCAGACTGGCCTGTTTTATTAACTTCATTACTAAGAAACTGGTTCTGCTTAATAATACCTTATTTAGGAGAAATATCTTAAAGAAGAAAATTTAAACTTGTAGCAGGAAGCTCTGTATTTAGAAAAGGGGTTACGTGACTGTTTGAACTCTTATCAACTACAGTGCTTGGAAGGTTTGCAATTGTAAGGACAAACACTTTCCTACAGTGACTGGTAATACTCTTTATGAATCCATAGTAAATGAAGTTCCTACAGTATGCTAATCACAACTTTTTTATCTTTCTTAAAAAAAGACAAACAATATTTATAACCCTCACAAAACACAATAAACTACATATTCTAATACTAATACTTGCAATCTTGAGTTTTACAGATTTGAATGGTATGTATTCAATCAGGGATGATCTTGGATGAGCATAAAGAGAGATTAGCATAGAGTTTTTTTTCAGTCTCTAAGTAGAATTTTCATTATGAGATTGTGGTTTTTAAAGTCTGTTAATTAACTATTGGATTCAATTTATCAGTATTTAAAGATTACCTGGCACTTGACTGGGCACTGCAAAGTCAGCATATACTTAAAGCCATGTGTTCATAATTTCTATAACTACTTATAATACAACAACTTCCTTCTGCTTGGAGAATGAAAGGTCTTATCAATTCGATTTCACAAACATCTAGTGAGTCCTTACAATGTACCAGGAACTCTGCTTTTCCATGAAATTCACTTCGATTATTGTAAGACAGTAATACATATTTGGTTCCACATTGGTCTGACTGGCAGAAAGCTGAACAGACTTCATTGATATTATGCTGTCCTCAGCATTATGGGAGTGAAGATTGGAATCCCCTAGCAAACTCGGACGTATTTATTTTATAAAAAATGTGGAAAGGTCACCGGTATGCTTTGAAGCACCAGTTAATGCCCTACTATCATCATCACTATCTGCATCTGATGGCAAACTGTAGGGGTGTCATCAGGAAGATGAGGAGCGAAGCGCTTTGCCTAACTCAGCACTGAAGATCTAATTTTGTCTTGCAGATCATCAGCAACTCATGAAAGTCAGCAAGTATACAGGATCACTGAAAAGTTTATCACTGGAGCAGAGCTTTACTCAGTATTTGAATGACGAGAGTAGTGTTTGGTCCTCTCCCATTTTCAGAACTAAGAAAGCAGGCAAATACCAAATTTACGTATACCTGCATGTCAACTGGGTTGCAAAAGGAAGTACGGTATAGTCCCAAGATAGCCATGTTAATAGAATAAGGGAATGCAGTAGCTTAGAAGATTGCAATGTTGATCAAAAGGGAAAAATATTAACAGAATCAACTAGATTCCCAACTAAGCAGAGAACTTCTAGCAGGCCTGCTAGTTACGATTTAAACATCCCTCAACCAAAACAATAAGGAAGAGCCCTCTCAGATGTTTCCTGGTGGTCCGTGTATCATCTTATTTGATTCTCTCAATAATACTAAGTCAGTCTTCCCATGTTACAGCACTCCCCTATATTAGACCCATGGAAAATGAAGTCTTTCATATCAGGTGACTTGTACCGATTCAAACAAAAAGTGAGTGAAAACTCGGGCCTCAAATCTGGGTTTCCTAAAGTCAACTTCAGCATTTCATCTGCTCCATGGTAAGGATAGGAATGTCACATGAGATTCATGAATGAATGACTCAACCACATTCTTCAACTTGAGAAAGGAGAATGACAGGTGGCATCTTAGCAAAGGAAATTATTTTCTAAACACTACTCCAGATTAAACTTTTGATTTGTACTTTCCATCCTAGCAATTTAAAACACATTATGAATTTGTCAGCATCTCCGGGATCCACAGACCTTGGCATAATTAAAGCCCATTAGATTGGTTCGGAGTATAACAGCACCACATGTGCTGTGAAAACATATTCTCCTAAAAGCCCCTAGGAGGATATTAAACATTTACAACCCACAATAAAACTTAGCAGAACATGTCAAAGTATAAAACTTTTTATTAGCCGGCAGTATAACCCACCACTCAGGGATAATATACTTAGATCCAGCCCCTACTATTTTGTAACTTTGAACTAATGGATGTGGGAAAAGCATCTTGGGTGTCTCAGGAAACCTCTTCTGGCCCAGAAGTCCAGCACATCAAAATTATCTTTACAGTATTGAGAATTTTCTCTATTGCAGAGCTTTGATAGTTGTTTCCTGTTCAAAGGCCCCACCTTATAATTTTATTTTGTATAATTCCTTCTCTTATTAACCCACTGAATAACTCAACCTTATAATTTTATTCTTCCGTATTCAAATAGGGTCAGTTTCATCTCCAGCTCTTTCTCTCTAGCAGAAAGTCACTGTCTGGGAGCCACAGTAGAGTGAAAACACTCTGGTCAATGATAACTCTTAATTCTACCATGAGAATAAAGAAGAGGGAAAAGAAAAGGCAATAGCATTTTAAGGATTTAAGCGGAGATTTACTCTCAGTTTCTCATTTAGGCCAAAACCTATGTAGAACTATGAAATGAAATGAAAAAAAAAAAGACTCTAGGAATTGCACTGTTCATAATTTGATCAGGAAAAATAACATTGAGCACATTTAGATATGTGTTGAATAATTTAACAGAGGCATGCATATGATACAAAAGCAAAATAATAATAAATGTTTATTTTTTAGAGAGGGGAGTCTCACTTTGTCGCCCAGGCTGGAGCACAGTAGCATGATCATAGCTCACTTCAAATTCCTGGGCTCAAGGGATCTTCCCACTTCAGACTCCCAAGTATGTGGAACTACAGGTGTGCACCACCATACTCGGCTAATTTTCTAATTTTTTGTAGAAACGGGGTCTTGCCATCTTGCCCAGATTGGTCTCAAACTCCCAGCTTCAAATGACCCTCCAGCATCAGCCCCCCAAAGTGCTGGGATTATAGGCATGAGCCACTGCATCCAGCTAATAAATCTTTAAAAAAATATATTTTTCTGTCATATAGAAAAAATTAAAAATTATTTTATATAAAAAAGTAACATAACTCTGTTATGTTGCTACAGTGGTACTGGTCTCTTGGTGCTGATGGAAGCTCACAGAAATCCAAATGAAGCTAATAGAGCCAAGGTTAAGGATTTTGACACCCTAAGTAAAGAGGATTAAAGAATTTAGAATAATTTGAAAACAATAAAAACTGTGTATTTCAGCCACACATTCCATCTGTAAAGCCTACACCAATGATTCTTTGTCTTTTCATCTTCCTGGACACACATCTCATTGATAATCTGATTTTAAAAATCTATATGCTGATAAATAATTTTGGATATAACATCAAAGAATGGAGTCTTGCAGGCCATCCTTGGATTACTAGAGTCCATGCATGAAACTCCGCCCTCCTGAGTTCAGGAACTGCATCTTAATCTTCCTATGCCAGCACCAAGCACAATGCCTGCATCCAGGTGATGGGAGAGCTGATGAATGAGAATGTGCACCCATGGTTGAGTGATGAATGAGTGACGATGACAAAGAATAACGTGGTTGGTTAAGAGAATGATGTAACTTGTTTCTGAAGGAACAAATGATTCCCATTCCTCAGTAGCATCATTGTAATATTTTTAAACATTATGGCTGGGCACTGTAGCTCACACCTGTAATCCCAGCACTTTGGGAGGGGAGGTGGCCTGATTGCTTGAGCTCAGGTGTTCAGGACCAGCCTAGGCAACATGGCAAAACCACACCTCTACAAAAAAAAAAAAAATACAAAAAATTAGCCAGATATGGTAGCACGTGCTTGTAGTCCCAGCTACTTGGGAGGCTCAGGTGGGAGAATCACCTGTGCTTGGGAAGTTGAGGCTGCAGTGAGCTATAATTGCACTACTGCATTCTTGCCTGGGGAAAAGAGCAAGACCCCATGTCTCAAAAAAAAATTATGTCAACACAAACCATGGCCTTTTCAAAGAAGTCAATCACTGAACTTATATGTGAACGCTCCCAATATATTAGGAATACTCTTTTACAGTGAAACTCTCAATGTGAGTTGCAGAGTACTTTTTAGAAACTGAGAAGACTTCAGTGCCTAAATATTGTTCAAGCTTATTCTGCATCAAACCATCACATTATACTCCCAATTGATGTGGATTCACAAAAAATGTTTTTAAACTGTTTGAAATAGCTATTGTTCCTGAGTTCTAAAGGTGTACTGAAGTCTTTAAGTCTAATACCCACCTTTACTTTTCTTTCCTGTGGGTAGGGTATTACAAAAATGGCAGACGATGATTTTAACTTTCATAGAAGTTATTACTCGTGTTAAACACACTGAAGAGTGGACAGCTTATCTGTTCCTGCAGTTTGTTATAGTGGAGCATAAAGATCACCTTTCCTTATAAATATATAAATTCATGGATCAGCTCAAGGCTTGGTCTTGTTCTTTCCCTCCTTTTCTTCATAAATCAATCTTTGCCCTCGCATTCTGTGATGGAGTTTTCTATTAGTTTTATTTTTTCCTTCTGCTTCCCCATAAGAAATATGACAATAATTATATATGTACTTTTATCGTTTGCTTTTTTGGCAACTGTTTTGTTCCTTTTACATCCCTGATTTTTTCCAGATACATTCATTTGTTACGTCATTTCCAAAATTGTGATTTTATTTTTTGTGTTCATCATCTGCATTTCAATTTTTGCAGCAACAAAATAGAGTTACCACTAAAATACAACTGTATATAGAACTTACACTTTAGTGCCCATATTAAACGAATATGTACTAATGCACTATTAAATGAATAGCCCATTGTTTCAGTTTATTTAGACAATAAGGATTCCAAGAAAGATTTTTATCTTTTTAGAAGACTCAAAAAAGTGTCTGCTTTGCAGGTCATTCTCCTCTGATCTGCCTCTAAATGCCAGAAGTGCTTGACCTGAGCCCCTTTGTCTTCTGTGACTACATATTCCTGCAGGTGATTCTCACACCAACCTGTGGTTTTAAATACCATAATATAACCCAATGACTCTCACATCTATGTCACCAGCCCTGACGTCTCCTTAGACTCCAAGCTAACATCAAGCTGCTTACTTGACATCTTCACTCAGATACCACCAACCTAACAAACACAATCAAAACAGGACTCTTAATAAGTCTGCCTTTCTCTATGACTTCTGCCTTCCTCATCTCAACAATGTCCTCAAATCCAAAACTCTTTAATTCCTCTTTCTCTCTTACCTCTTAAATCCAATCTGACGAAACTTCTGAATCAAAGTATTTCTTTACTACCATCCCTATTGAGTTACTTCATTCTCTTGTCTTCTCCAATCCCCTCTTCATGGAGTAAAATTATTTAGAAACATCATTCAATTCCTATAATACACCACATCCAACAGCTTTCCATTGAATTTAAAATAAAATCCAAACTTCTTGTTCTAGCTTTCAAAGTCCCTGAAAATCAGCCCCCAACTATCTCTTCCACATCATATCTCATACCACTTACCCCCTTCACCTGCTGGACTTCAATCACACTGGCCTCTTTCTGTCTTTGAACAGTCCACACTCATTCTCACCTTAGGGTCTTTGCACTATCTCTTCTACATAGATTCAATGCTTCTCTCTCTAAGCATCCAATGACTGGTTCCTTCTGGCTATCCAGCAAAGAGGCCTTCTACAATAAACCAATCCAATCCAACAGACCCATCACCTTACTTATTTTAATTATCTCCATGACATGCATCACTAATTATTAGCTAAATGGTTTATTTCCTGTCTTTATCTACTAGAATGAAATATCCATGAGATGGTGCACTCTGTCTCGATCTCTGCTCTGTCCCCATGACTTTGGACATTGCTTAGCACGTCATCAACACTCTAAATAGCGTGTTTACTGTGTGAATATAACAAATATATTTTAAATATACACTAAACCTGTATGAATTTTATGGCAATATTTTTTCCTTTTTATAGAAAGCTATCACATATATTAAAAGATCCCAATTACATCTATTCATTTTAGACAATGTTCATAGAGATTCTAGCGGTAAAAATATTAAAAGATCTTATTACAACGTTTAAAATACTCCAGAACTTCATATTACCTATAAATCCTACATAGAGTTAATTATACATTCTGAATTGTTGTATTTTCGGTGATTAAGAGAAATGCAGATAGCCAACATTTCAATGTCTTTTTAAGTTGTCTTGAGTAACATATTTTATGTTACTCCAGATTTAAGGAATTTAATCTGTATTTTACCAGCAATGTGCAATATATCATCAATGACTACCACAGCTTTGTCTCCAAATTTTCTGGGCCCCTTCCCTTTTGTACCAATCTAGATCAGATTTTTCACTGCATTATGATCAAAATTACTGCAAAAAGTAATCCTTCCTCCTTCTGACTTTCCTGACTCATTTTTTTTTTTCCAAACACTGAAGTACGGTTTCTTCTTTTGTTATTTTTATTTTACTTTTTTTGGAGACAGGGTCTTTCTCTTTCACCCAGGCTGAAGTGCAGTGGAGCCATCATAACTCATTACAGGTTCAAATTCTCAAATTCCTAGGCTTAAGTGATCCTCTCATATAAGCCTCCTGAATCACTAGGACTACAGGCACACACTGCCACGCCCGGCTAATTTTTCTCTACGTTTTGGAGAGACGGGGTTTTGCCATGTTACCCAGGCTGGTATTGAACTCCTAGCCTCAAGCAATCCTTCCATCTCAGTCTCCCAAACTGCTGGGATTATAGGCGTAAGCCACCATGCCTGGCCTATAAGTACAATTTCTCAAACATCATTTTATTTATATCACTCCCTTATTCCCCTCCCCTAAAAAAACTGTACCCATTAATATTATTTCAATAACTCCCCTTACAAAGACTTTGTGATCTAGTTAAGCAACCCTTCCTGCAATCCCCAATACCTGTGGGCCAGGGGGTTGGGGGTTATAAGAAACAATCAATGAAACCACCATACACTCCAGAAGCATTATCTATATACTGAATAATTTATATATTTTGAAAATGTATATGCGTGTGTGCATACACACACACATATTTGCAATTGCAAGTATAATTTTAAAATGTATCTGATTAATCAAATAAAATATTTTACTTAAATATGTAATAGTGTTTCTGAATTCATACTAGCATTTTTAGTCATTTTCCATTTTCTCAATAGACACCAAATAAACAACTACAATGATGTACATGAATTAAAGCCACTGTATTGAAAGCCATTGAGATTTGGGTTTTTTTTTTTCTTATCAAAGCATAACTTAGCCTATCCTGAATAGATCAGGATAGCAAATCAATTTTATTTCAGGTACTACTGATTGGTAGTAGCTACCTGGAAAAATGCATTTTTAAAATACTGAGTGGCTGTGTCTAGGAAAATTAGAAAAGGAATGCCAAGCACAGTCAGTCTCTCCATGAACATGGGAGACTGAATTAACTCTTGTGATACTGTGATATAATAAGAAATGTACACTTGCTCACTTCCCCAGTTCCTGAGAGAGCTCCTAATATCCTTCTCGACAGAAGTTCAAGGAGAATATGGAAAATATCTGTTCTGATATTTGGTCTTTGACCCTAGTTCCTGACACAGAGCTCCTAAAATCCCTTAAAATTTCCTAGGTAAAAATATCCTTTTTTGTTCGAAAGAGGTGACTCTTGGTAGGCTCTTGGATAGCCTCAGGATGTTGGCTGGTTGCCAGGGGAAGCAACAATGCAACTGGGGGGTCAGAACTTTAAGCCTTCCCCCAACACATTCCACCCTTGACCTCCATGGAGGATAGAGGGGCTGAAGGTTGACTTGATTACCAATGGCCAATGATGGAATCAACCATGCCTACAAAATGGAGCCTCCTTAAAAACCCAAAAAGATAAGAGTCAGAATTAAAACTAGGTTGCTGAACTAAAACTAGGTATCTGGAGGGTAATGCGCTGGACAGGACATGGGAGCTCTGTGCCTCTTCCCACATTTCCTGCCCTAGGCATCTCTTCCATCTGAGTGTTCATCTGTATGCTTTGTACTATCCTTTATAATAAATAGGTAAACATTAGTAAACTGTTTTCCTGAGTTATGTGAGCTGCTCTATCATGAGGAGGGGGATCATGGGAACCCCTGATTTAAATCAGTCAGACAGAAGTAAAGATGACAATCTACTACTTGCAGCTGGAATCTGAAGTAGGGGCAGGCCGGGTGCGGTGGCTCACACCTGTAATCTCAGAACTTTGGAAGGCCAAGGTGGGCGGATCACTTGAGGCCAGGAGTTCGAGACCAGCCTGGCCAACATGGCAAAACCCTATCTCTACTAAAAATACAAAAATTAGCCGGGTGTGGTGGCACGCGCCTGTAGTCCCAGCTACTTGAGAGGCTGAGACATGAGAATCGCTTGAACTTGGGAGGCAGAGGTTGAAGTGAGCTGAGTCTGTGTCACTGCACTCCATCATGGGCAACAGAGTGAGACTCCATCCCTCAACCAAAAAAGAAAAATTAAATTGAAGTAGAGGGCAGTCTTATGCAGCCAAGGCATCAACTTGAAGAATCTGATGCTATCTCCAGGTAGATGATGATGTCAAAATTGAGTTAAATTACAGAACACTTAGTATTGCTGGAGAATTGCTTGGTGTGTGGAGATAAGCCCCCACATATCTGGTATCAGAATTATTGTGTTGAGTGGTGTCTGAGAGGAGAAGAGAAAAAAAAGACTTTTTTTTTTTCATCAGAACTCTGGAACCCTGACTTTGAGCATAAGTTTTATGCAAATGGAGGCTTATAACTAAGAGACTTTAGTAAGTACTGGCCAGACAATAAATGCAAAGTGCAGCCCGGTCATATCCACAGTTGCAGTACAGTTATCTCGTGCAAACATTCTCAGCTCTTCTCTTCTCCAACATTCCTATTCATCAGCTTAACTACCTTCCCCCAACACAAACTTTGGGTTACAACAACATCTAGGAAAGCAATTTCTTCTGCAGAATTTTAACGTGTAACCTTGAAAATGTAAATCACACAAGACAAAAAATTATTATTCACAGCATCAAAAACTTCCCAGATTAACTTCTTGAGTGTTTGCTGCTTATGTTTAAAATTTTCTGGCTGCAAATCCAGCATAATTTTCCATGGCTATTTTCTGACAGAGTACTTCATCAATACAAAATATATAAACATTCTAAAATAAATACCGATATTCTAACACACACACAGTCAAAGCTAAGTAGGTACCCAGGCCTGATTTCATTCTGCCTGTTCTGAAGTAGGAGCCACTAATGAATTTAATGTTTATCATTAATGTGTACTTTCTTAGGATTTTCCTGTACACACATTTATATATTCTAATATTTTGTACCTATTTTGCAAATTTTAATTTGTAACATGATATAAATGGTATTATACTGTTCATCTCCAATTTGCCTATATCCAATTGCAATTTCATTTTTGCACAATTTTACATTCCTGTAATTGATTCTTGTTGATATGTGTGTTTACAGTTTCACTGTATATACAGTATAACATTGCTTGAATCCACTATACTTTATCAATTTCTCTACTGCCGAACATTTAGGGATCTCTTGTTGGTTGGTAGGCTGTTTTGTGCTTCAAATAGAATTTATTTTTTTACAGCAATTTTATGTTCACAGCAAAAGTAGGAAGGCACAGAGAGTTCCCATATACCTCTGCCCCCTACACATGCACGGCTTCCCCCACTATCAGTATCTTTCATCAAAGTGACACCGCTGTTACAATTGATGTCAAACCTACATTCAGGTATCACTATCCCCCAAAGACTATAGTTTACACTGGGGTTAACCCTTTGTGTTGGATATTTGATGGGTTTTGAGAAATTTATAATGACATAACCACCACTGCAGTATCTTACAAAATAGTTTCACTGTACTAAATATACCCTGTGCTCACCTATTCATCCCTCCCTGCCCCTTATCCCTGGCAACCTCTGATCTCTTTACTGTCTCCAGAGATTTGACTGTTCCAGAATGTCGTATTATGTAGCCTTTTTCAGATTGGCTTCTTTCACTTAGTGACATGCATTTAAGGTTCCTCCATGTCTTTTCACGGATTGATAGCTCATTTCTTTTTATCACTGAATAATATCCCATTGTCTGGATGCACCAGTTTATTTGTTCACCTACTGATGGACATCTTGGTTGCTTTCACATTTTGGCAATTTTTATAAACAAGGTTCTATAAACATCTATGTGCAGGTGTTTGTGGGGACATAAGCTTTTACTCATTTGGGTAAATACCAAGGACTGTGATTGCTGGATTGTACAGTAAAAGTATGTTTAGCTATGAAAATAACTGCCAAACTGTTCTCCAAAGTGGCTGTTCCATTTGCATTCCCATCAAGAATGAATGAGAGTTCCTGTTGCTCCACATCCCCACCAGCATTGGTTGTTGTCTGAGTTTTGGATTTTCACTCTTCTGATAGATGTATAGTGATCTTCTGCTTGTTTTTGCCATTACAAAAAATAACATTGACATGAATACGTATGTGCATGTTTTCATGAGCCCAAGTGCAAGAGTTGGCCTAGGCCAGGTATATTTCTTGGATTGAATTTGCTGGGTCCCAATTATGACCTTCTTAAACATTAGTAGGTATAATCACCTTGCTTTTTAAAGAGGCAGTATCAATTTACGCTTCTAACAGAAATGCATGAGAATTTTTATTGGTTCATATCTTTGTCACCATTTTCCATTGTCAAACTCAAAAGCTTTTGCCAATTTCATGCACAAGAATTTGAATGCAGCTTTAATTTGTGCATTCCTTATAACTAATAATCTTCAACATCTTTTAAAATATTTGGAAGCCATCTGAGTTCTCTTTTCCGTGAAATATTTCTTCAAACATATTGAACATTTTCCTACTTGGATATTCTTTCTTTCTTATTGATTGCTAGGAAATCTTTATAATTTTTGATAGTAAAATTTTATCCACTTATATTTACATGTTGAAAATATCTTCTCCCAATCTGAGGTTTGTATTTTCGTTGTTGGTGGTAGTGCTGTTTTTATGTTGCTCTGTTTTATTTGTTTGCTTTACATACTATGGTATTTGCTGATATTCAGAAGTCTTTAATTTTAATTTAGCCAAATACATCTTTATTTTGCTTTGTAGTTTGTGCTTTTGGGGACTTTAAAATCAGCTTTATTGAGGCATAATTTACATGCAATGAAATTTACCACTTATAAGTATACAACTTGATGAGTTTTAACACTTTTCTACAATCATCTAATCATCACCACAATCACAAAATAGGACACTTCCATCTATTTTATGGAATAAAAACATTTGCAAGTCTCTGCAGTAAATTCCCACCTACTTCCTCCAGCCCTTGCCAACCACTCATCTGCTTTTAGTCACTCTAGCTTTCCCTTTCTATCATTTCATATACATGGAATCATTTGGTATACAGTCTTTAGTGCCCTGCATCTGTCACTTTCCTTAAAGATTTTGCGTTGCATCCATGTTGTTGCACAGATTAATAGTTCATTCTTTTTGTTACCACATAGTATCCCTTTATCAGTTGATGACACTTTTGGTCATTTCATTTCCAGTTTTAGGCTATTGTGAGTAAAACTGCCCCAAACATACGAGTACAAGACTCTGGGTAGAAACAGGGACAAATAACTCTTGGGTAAATAACCATGAGTAGGCCACTATGTTGTATTGTAAACTCATGCTGAATTTTATAAGGAACTGACAAACTGTTTTCCAAAGTGACCACCATTTGCATTGAAATATAATTTTAAGTTCTGTATTACCTACTGGAAAAAACATGTGCAACTAAAATAGTTTTATGCCAAAGTATCAGAAAGTTATGCTGACAAAAAATCTTAGCATTTCCTTCTGTACCAAATTTATCAATAATTATTTATCGATTTTAATGATTTTTCTGTAAAGTATCTGAATTTTTTAATTATGTATAAGCATGCTTACAAAAATGTATCCTTTATATAAAGTATGATATGGTTTGGCTGTGTCCCCACCCAAATCTCATCTTAAATTGTAGTTCCCATAATTCCCACATGTCATGGGAGGGACCCAGTGGGAGGTAATTGAATCATGGTGATGGTTACCCCCATGCTGCTGTTCTTGTGATACTGAGTGAGTTCTCATGAGATCTGATGATTTGTTAAGGTCCTTTTCCCTCTTTGCACAGCACTTCTCCTTGCTGCCATCATGTGAAGAAGGACGTGTTTGCGTCCCCTTCTGCTATGATTCTAAGTTTCCTGAGGCCTCCCCAGCCCTGTGGAACTGTGAGTCAATTAAACATCTTTCCTTTATAAATTATCCAGTCTCAGGTCTTTATTAGCAGCATGAGAAAGGACTAATACAAACTAGTAGAGGATCATCATGGTGGATGGGAGGCAGGACTAGATTGCAGCTCTAGACAGAGCAGTATGTGGGGGCTCGCATTGTTAATTTTAGACCCAGATCAGCTGCAAGAACAAACCAGCAATCCCGAGAGGATCCACAGAGCCTCTGAAGGAAGCGGACTGCTCCTGCAGGACCCGGGAGACCCCCCTAAAACTGTGAGTGCCCCAACCATGGAAGTAGGAAAGGGCGGCCCTCCTCTCCCAAATATACACCCCCACTGGAGAAGCCGAAGGTCTGTTTGCGTGAAAAGTTTACAACTTTACCTGGAGCTGAGTCAATTTGGAGAGCTGAGCAACATACAGGGGGTAAAGGAAGCAGCAGAAAGGCCCTGGGAGCTCGCTGGGTCCCCAAGCACCCCATACCTGCCTGGCACCACAGGGATCCAATGGGAGAGGAGCACGGGGTAAAACTCCACAGGCAGAAGGAAATCTCTAGCTGGCCTTTGTAACAATTTGAATGGGGTGAGAGGCCTCCTGGCCAGAACTCAGGGGAGGGTGCAAATCTAGTGTCCAGACTCCATAGGCAGGGGAGGAACCAAGCCCTTTTATTTTGCAGCTGGAAGGCAGGTACCCTGGGGTAAGTGTTCAAACCCATCACACCCTCCGCCTGGAAACAGACTCAGGGCTGTTGTTGGGGGGCACAGTGGGAGTACGACTGGCCCTTCTGTTTGCGTGGGAGCTGGGTGAGGCCTGTGACTACTGGCTTTCCCCCACTTCCCTGACAACCTGCATGACTCAGCAGAGGCAGCCATAATCCTCCTAGGTACACAACTCCAGTAACCTAGGTATCTCACCCCCACCCCCGAGAGCAGCTGCAGCAGGACCCACCCAAGGACAGTCTGAGCTCAAACGTGCCTAGCCCTCCCCTACCTGATGGTCCTCCCCTATCCACCCTGGTAGCAGAAGACAAAGGACATATAATCTTGGGAGCTCTAGGGCCCTGCCCACCGCCAGTTCCTCCCAATACTACCAGAGCTGATGCTCTCTGGAAAGTGCCATTTCCTGGCAGGCAGCCAACTAGCACAAAAGTAGAGCATTCAGCCACCAAAGCAAAGAACCCTTATGGAGTCCATTGCACACTCGCACCACCTGCACCAGGACAGACACTTGTATCCACAGCTGAGAGACTCATAGAAGGTTCACATCATGGGACTCTGTGCAGACAACCCCCAGTACCAGCCTGGATCTGGGTAGACTCACCAGGTGGCTAGATCCAGCAGACAGACAACAATCACTGTGATTCAGCTGACAGGAAGCCACATCCATAAGAAAAGGGGGAAAGTACTACATCAAGGGAACACCTCGTGGGACAAAAGAATCTGAACAACAGCCTTCAGCCCTAGACCCTCCCTCTGACAGAGCCTACCCAAATGAGACGGAACCAGAAAACCAAACCTGGTAATATGACAAAACAAGGCTCTTCACCACTCCACAAAAATCACATTAGTTCACCACCAATGGCTCCAAACCAAGAAGAAATCCCTGATTTACCTGACAACGAATTCAGGAGGTTAGTTATTAAGCTAATCAAGGAGGGACCAGAGAAAGGCAAAGCCCCGTGCAAGGAAATACAAAAAATGATACAAGAAGTGAAGGGAGAAATATTCAAGGAATTAGATAGCTTAAAGAAAAAACAATCAAAAATTCAGAAAACCTTGGATGCACTTTTAGAAATGTGAAATGCTCTGGAAAGTCTCAGCAATAGAATTGAACAAGTAGAAGAAAGAAATTCAGACCTTGAAGACAAGGTCTTCGAATTAAGCCAGTCCAACAAAGACAAAGAAAAAAGAGTAAGAAAATATGAACAAAGCCTCCAAGAAGTCTGGGATTATGTTAAACAACCAAACCTAAGAATAATCAGTGTTCCTGAGGAAGAGGAGAAATCTAAAACCTTGGAAAACATATTTGGGGAATAATTGAGGAAAACTTCCCTGGCCTTGCTAGAGACGTAGACATCCAAATACAGAAGCATAAAGATCACCTGGGAAATTCATCTCAAAAAGATCTTCACCTAAGCACATTGTCCTCAGGTTATCCAAAGTTAAGATGAAGGAAATAATCTTAAGAGCTGTGAGACAGAAGCACCAGGTAGCCTATAAAGGAAAACCTATCAGATTAACAGCAGATTTCTCAGAAGAAACCCTACAAGCCAGAAGCGACTGGGGCCGTATCTTCAGCCTCCTCAAACAGCCTAGAATTTTGTATCCAGCAAAACTAAGCATCATATATGAAGGAAAGATACAGTCTTTTTCAGACAAACAAATGCTGAGAGAATTCACCATCACCAAGCCACCACTACAAGAACTGCTAAAAGGAGCTCAGAATCTTGAAACAAATCCTGGAAACACATCAAAACAGAACCTCTTTAAAGCATAAATCACACAGGACCTATAAAACAAAAATACAAGTTAAAAAGCAAAAACATATTTAAAAAATGAAGTACACAGGCAACAAAGGGCTGGATGAATGCAAGGGTACCTCACATTTCAATACTAACATTGAATGTAAATGGCCTAAATGCTCCACTCAAAAGATATAGAACCACAGAATGGATAAGAACTCACCAGCCATCTGCTGCCTTCAGGAAACTCACCCAATACATAAGGACTCACATAAACTTAAAGTAAAGGGGTGGAAAAAGGCATTTCATGCAAATGTACACCAAAAACAAGTACGGGTAGCTATTCTTATATCAGACAAAACAAATTTTAAAGCAACAACAGTTAAAGGAGACAAAAAGTAAAGAATGGATTTAAACTACACATTGGAAGAAATGGACTTAACAGATATATACGGAGCATTTCATCCAACAACTGCATTCTATTAAAAGCGCATGGAACTTTCTCCAAGATAGACCATATGATAGGGCATAAAACAAGGCTCAATAAATTTAAGAAAACTGAAATTATATCAAGCAATCCCTCAGACCACAGTGGCATAAAACTGGAAATCAACTCCAAAAGGAACCTTCAAAACCATGCAAATACATGGAAATTAAATAACCTGCTCCTGAATGAGCATTGGGTCAAAAACGAAACCAAGATGAAAATCAAAAAATTATTTGAACCAGACAACAATAATGACACAAGCTATCAAAACCTCTGAAATACTGCAAAGGTGGTGCTAAGAGGGAAGTTCATAGCCCTAAATGTCTATATCAAAAATATTGAAAGAGTACAAACTGACACTCTAAGGACACACCTCAAGGAACTAGAGAAACAAAAACAAACCAAACCCAAACCCAGCAGAAGAAAGAAATAACCAAGATCAGAGCAGAACTAAATGAAATTGAAAGAAAAGAAATACAAAAGATAAAACAAAAAGCTGGTTCTTTGAAAAGATAACTAAAATTGATAGACCATTGGCAAGATCAATGAAGAAAAGAAGAGAGAAACTCCAAATAACCTCATTAAGAAACAAAACGGGAAATATTACAACTGACACCACTGAAATACAAAAGATCATTCAAGGCTGCTATGAACATCTTTACACACATAAACTAGAAAACCTAGAAGAGACAGATGAATTCCTGGAAAAATACAACCCTCCTAGCTTAAATCAGGAGGAGTTAGATACCCTGAACAGACCAATAACAAGCAGTGAGATTGAAATGGTAATTTAAAAATTACCAACAACAAAAATGTCCAGGACCAGACAGATTCACTGCCGAATTCTACCAGACATTCAAAGAAGAATTGGTACCCATATTTTTGATACTATTCTACAAGATAGAGAAAGAAGGAACCCTCCCTAATTCATTCTATGAAGCCAGTATCACCCTAATACCAAAACCAGGAAAGGACATACCCAAAAAAGAAAACTACAGACTGATATCCTTGATGAACATAGATGCTAAAATCCTCAACAAAATACTAACTGAATCCAACAACATATCAAAAAGATAATCTACCATGATAAAGTGGGTTTCATACCAGGGATGCAGGGATGGTTTAATATATGCAAGTCAATAAATGTGATATACCATATAAACAGAATTAAAAACAAAAATCACATGATCATCTCAATAGATGCAGAAAAAGCATTCGACAAAATCTAGCATCACTTTATGATTAAAACTCAGCAAAATCAGCATACAAGGGACATACCTTAATGTAATAAAAGCCATCTAAGACAAACCCTCAGCCAACATAATACTGAATGGGGAAAAGTTGAAAGCATTCCATCTGAGAACTGGAACAAGACAGGGATGCCCACCTGCACCACTCCTCTTCAACATAGTACTGGAAGTCCTAGCCAGACCAATCAGACAAGAGGAAGAAATAAAGGGCATCCAAATCAGTAAAGAGGAAGTCAGACTTTCACTGTTTGCGGATGACATGATCGTTTACCTTGAAAACCCTAAGGACTCCTCCAGAAAACTCCTAGAACTGATAAAAAGAATTAAGCAAAGTTTCTGGATACAAGATCAATGTACACAAATCAGTAGCTCTTCTATACACCAACAGCAACCAAGCAGAGAATCAAATCAAGAACTCGACCCCTTTTACAATAGCTGCAGAAAATAATAATAATAATAAAAAAATGCCCATCTTCAACAAGTGGATAAAGAAACTGTGCTGTGTGTGTGGGGGGGTGTTTATGGGTGTGTGTGTGTGTACATATATATATATATATGGTGGAATATATATATATATACACACACTATACATATATACTACATACTGTGGTGTGTATGTGTGTGTGGGTCTGTGTGTGGGTGTGTGTGTATATATATGGTGGAATATATATATACACACACTATATATATACACACAATACATATATTATATATATTTTATATATATTTTATATATTATATATATGTATATATAGTGGATTACTATGCAGCCATAAAAAGGAATGAATTAACAGCATTTGCAGTGACCTGGATGAGACTGGACACTATTTTTTTTTTTTTTTGAGATGGAGTCTCACTGTTGTCGCCCAGGCAGGAGTGCAGTGGCGCAATCTCGACTCACTGCAACGTCCGCCTCCCAGTTCAAGCAATTCTCATTACTCAGCCTCCCAAGTAGCTGGGATTACAGGTGCCCGCGACCACGCCCGGCTGATTTGTATTTTTAGTAGAGATGGGGTTTCTCCATGTTGGCCAGGCTGGTCTCGAACTCCCTACCTTAGGTGATCCACCCGCCTCGGCCTCCCAAAGTGCTGGGATTACAGGCGTGAGCCACCACGCCTGGCCAGATTGGAGACTATTATTCTAAGTGAAGTAACTTAGTTATGGAAAACCAAACATCGTATGTCCTCACTGATATGTGGGAGCTAAGCTATGAGGATGCAAAGGCATAAGAATGATATGACTTTGGGAACTTCAGGGGAAGAGTGGAAGGAGGATGAGGGATAAAAGACAACAAATATGGTGCAGTGTATACTGCTCAGGTGATGGGTGCCCCAAAATCTCACAAATCACCACTAAAGAACTTACTCATGTAACCAAATACCACCTGTACTCCAGTAACTTACGGAAAAAAAGAAATTGATACCAAGTAGTAAATTAAATATTACTACAAATGTACTATACCAAGACCATTATCAATCTATATAGGATTAAGCATTATTATAGTAACAAATATGAATATTTACTCCAGCAACCTTGAAAACATTAAATTCCTTGAAACAGGAAGACAGTGGCTGTGTATTCTTTGGAGAGTACAGTAGGATATAAAAAGTCAAATGAACTGATAAACTGCCAAAATGGATACATCAATATTATTAGCCTAAATAAGGAAATCCAGTCAAAAATCAATGCACATTTATTGAGGCTCTACTTCCTTCAAAACTGTATTATGTACCTGAGATACAAGATGACTGAGAGGCTGTCTCTGCCTGCAGGTGCTTTCATAATTTGAGAAACGCCAAAGTAAATGTAAAGGGACACATGAGTTAGCAGCAAGTTACGCAGTCAAAGGAGGAATTAATTTTGCTTGAAAGAGAGGAGCGTGGGAGGGAGGAAGAAAAAGAGAAAAAGCGATCAAGTGAATGAGAAAGAGAGGAAGAGAAGGAAATAGAAAGCAACCAGGTAGACAGGCAAGCAAGAAAGAAAACAGAATTATTTGTCATAAAGGAGGGAGATGCATTGTAAACACAGGAAGACTTTACAAAGGAAAAAACATTTGACAGATACCTAAACAATGAAGAGACTTCCTTCAGGTGAAGAACGCGCAAGGGTCTTCCAGGAAGAGCGAGAACAGAGTATATCCAAAGGCATGTCATCTTTTATTAAAACCCAACTGGAGGTTTATACCTCCAGGGTTGTTTATGCATGTCTAAGTGTGCAAATTGGCAAGTGGCAACAGGTGAAATAATGCAATCCACTGTTAGAAAGCTTTCAGAAGCTCCCTTCATCTTTCAAATAAAGTTGTGCTGGTTACATGGCATTTGAAACCTGACTTTACCCCTCAGCAGAACACTTGGGAGTTCCCAGCCACCAACAAATGCTTCTTCTCTATGCCTTTGTTCTCATTCTCCTTATGAAATGCTTCCTTCTATATCACACTCTATTGAGCTATATTCGTATTTTACCCATTTATTCTCTCATCCTTTCAAACATCAAAAACATTCATTAACTTAAGTACCATCTGTCAAGGAGTCCCACTCAAATGCCATCCCTATACTTTCATAAAACTTCACCAGTAGCTCCTGACATAAGTATTCTCCTTCCCAGCTTTAGGAGGGCAAGTGCATCTAACCTATTGGCAGCAAACTTTGCCTCTATCATATCTCTGACAGTTGCTCCCATTTTATTTGTCTAGCTTTCCCTTTAGCAATATAATACTTTCCATATGTTAGAGCTGGGCTAAGCACATCATGGCCATGGACCAAATCACAGCCCAAGAGTTAAGAATGGCTTGCACATTTTTCAACAGTTGAAAAAAAATTGCAAGAAAAAGAAAAAAATATTTTATGGCACATGAAAATATGAAATTGAATTTTCAGTGCCCGTAAGTACAGGTTTTTTGGAACACAGCCATGTTCATCTGTTTACATATGGTCCACGGCCACTTTCACACTGCAATGTCCAAGCTGAATAGAAAACATCTGACCCACAAAACTAAAATATTTCCCATCTGGCTCTATACAGAAAAAAAAAAAAATGCGCCAACTTCTGTGTTAGAGCTTCATTTGCTGCAGTGTGTTCACTCCAGTGATGGCTAAATCATACTCTTAGATTCAGAAAGTATATACTTTCTGCAGTATATACTTTATAGCCAGGCTTCTAACAGTGGCAGCGGGCACTCTGCAGTATATACTCTATAACCAGGGTTCTAACAGTGGCAGCAGGCACTCTGTAGTATATACTCTGTTACCAGGGTTCTAACGGTGGCAGCGGGCCCTCTGCAGTATATACTCCAAGTGTAGTTTTCAGTTTTTCACAAACATTCACTTAATTCAGCTCTGACCATCTGAATTAACAGCTTCTCCTTCCCCTACCCTTAGTTCTGTTCTCTGTTATTACAATGGATACACCATCATCAAAACCACAATCCCTATTCTGTACTTCCACCAGTGCTGTTCCTGTTTGCAATAAGCCCTCAGCATTGTATTTGTGAGAACTAAGGCTTCCAGAACAGAATGGGTCATCACCAGCTTACTGCCTACCAATGCCTGCACCATCTGGGGGGAGTCTGCACTGACGGGATGCAGCAGAGCAGAAGGAAGGAACAAAAACTGGCTACGCACTTTGTAAGCACAGCCCCCTTTGGCTGAAGCTGACAGGTTAGGTGGATTAAAATATCTGCCAATCTTTTTGCAGTGTTTGAGATGAAACTGTGTGCAAGAGGTGAACTCCAGGTAGGTTTTTTCCAACAAGTTTCATCTGCCTTATAATTAATGGAGATCTCTTAGACATCAGTGTTTTCCTAAGTTTTCATGTTGCTTCATTTTCTACATCTTATGAGAAACATAATGGGAAATTAGGAGCTCACCTATGACTACAATGAGAATTCTTTAAAATCTTTTAAAAATTTCCAGAATGAGTCTTTAGTTCACATCATAAGGCGTAAGGCATCATAAGGCAAGACACTGATGTTGTATTCCTCACTGGAGTTTAATTTAGTATAAAATTAGGTATGTAATTCAAGTATTCCATAAAATGCCTTCTATTTTGGGAATTTCAATTATGTCATCTTTGCCCTTTGTGTCACCACTCTACCTTAACTGGATACCAGCATAAATGCATGTTAAAAATACTAAAAAGAGGCCAGGCGTGGTGGCTCATGCCTGAAATCCCAGCACTTTGGGAGGCTGAGGCAGGCGGATCACCTAAGGTCAGGAGTTCGAGACCAGCTTGGCCAACATGGTGAAACCCCATTTCTACTAAAAATACAAAAATTAGCCAGGTGTGGTGGTGCGTGCCTGTAATCCCAGCTACTCAGGAGGCTGAGGCAGGAGAATCACTTGAACCTAGAAGGTGGAGGTTGCAGTGAGCCGAGATTGCACCACTGCACTCCAGCCCGGGAGACAGAGTGAGACTCCATCTCAGAAAACAAAAAAAAAAAAAACCAGTAAGAAGAATTATTTCCACATAACTTATGAATCACAATTTAACAAGCAGTTCCATTCAGGTCCAATTCAACAATCTGCCAAGAAAACTGTTAAATATTTTCTTTCAACTCTTCTGTTCTATCGGAACTCTGTTCAAGTATCTAATCACTTATTCTACATTGACAAGATAGTCACAAAATATTAGGATATTTCCTTTCTGCCACACTTACCATCTACTTTATTTTTCTCTAAAAATATTGGGAAATAAATATTATATAACTGAAACATAAGAATATTGAAAAATATAGTTATTGATAATTTATATTCTTTACAAAACAGTGGTCTTTCTTTTGCCTCTCATTTGCACAAACAAAATTCTGTGAAAGTCAAAATGAATAAAGTAGAGAGAAGAAACAGCAATAATGTTAATATTTATTTCCTTATAATTGTTTTATTATTTCAATTAATTTTTAGAGAAATCGTCAAGAAACAAGTATCTGCTGTTTAAGATGGTTCATAAACTATATATGAAGTGAATCTTTCTTACATCATCTAGCATTTATCTTATACCGACATTTTTATTATTCAAAAATTCTCACTTGAATAAGAAGATCAGTTCATCTGGAATATCACAACTATTATGCATCATTAATATCTTAATGCATTATTTATGCTGGTGAATAATGAGAAGTCACCGAATATAAAGTATTGCTCTATCATGTTCCATTATGAGAAGAAATACTTTTAATTAAAGTGACGCCATAGAAATTGGAAGAAACAGAAAGAGCTCTTGATATTGTTACATCTACAAGGCCCAGCTTCCTTTTTGGAAACCTGATAAAAATCAACAATACTGTTTCATACATACTGTGAATGTGTATCAGTCTCAGAAATACAGAATAATTGAAATATTGGATGCAACAGATCTCAAAGATCCTCTTACTGCCTCTATCCAGAGTCCACGATGATGAATACCAGAAAACTATGCTTGAAGCAGTGAGATAATTAAATAAGAATGGCTTTTACTGTTTTTTAATGAATGTCCCTTTTGTAGGGGCAGCACTGCATGACTATTGATTCAATTGTCACATCTGCATAAAACAATGGTCCTCATCTGTATAAAACTGTGCTCCTATGAAATCCTGGTGTTGCATGAGGTTCAACCTTGTGTAACGATGCTAAAATCTTTCCCAGTTTTGCAAAACTTTTTGCTCAATTAAAAATTTCTATAATAATCATTCTCAAACACTTAAAAACTATCACTGCTTAATAATCCAGTAGAATTTGAGATTTAATTAATTGATTTAATGATTTATTGATTGAGACAGAGTCTCACTCTGTTGCCTAGGCTGGAGTACAGTGGTGCAATCATCAGAATTTAATTTAGTATAAAATTAGATATTAATTATTTTTTAAGTACTTATTGTCATGAGTTTTAGATCATCTGAACAAGGTGAGACTCAGCAGTATAGAGAGTCTTATAAAATGATTTGTGTTAACCATTGCTTATTATTATAAACTGCACCCTGTCATGAACATGAAAAGCCAAATAAATTAGTCCCCAGTGAAACTGTCAAGCCAAATACTATAGCAATCCTTCAGAAAAGTGTAAAGGCAGTTTTATTTAGCCCGCTTTTCTTATGATCATTGTTTAAACATCCTCAGTCCTTGAAGAGGAAACTCAAACTAGTCTGATCCATTTCAGTGGATTAAAGTTATTCTGCTCTATGAAAAAAACATATAGCATTTATTTAAAATCTGCTCGTATATTAAATATACTGACTGTAACCACTGAACACCAATTATGAATTGTTTCTTGATCTAATTCAACTTAAAACCCTAGAATAACCCAAATATTATCAAAGGAACATTAGTTTAACTGGCAGTTATTCCACTTAATCAAATATTTTACTGATTATAAAGTGATTATAAATGAAAAGGAGAAACGAAGAGCAATTCCCTAATAAGTCCTGACAGTGGCTATTATTACAGAGCTGCTATATCCAGGAGTAGGATTTTCCACTATAATCGCTGGTAAGCAGCAAAGCAAACCTGCTCAGACCATGTTCAGTGCTTAAGTCTATACTATCCACACGAGAATCAAATTCATACAGACTGTGGGTGTTTCCTTTTAAAAAGGTCTGCCCATGAGTAAAACTGGGTTGCAAAAATTTAACACCAGCTCTCAGGAGTACAAATTATATTCACTTATCTCCTACTCAGAAATCATTTTATTCTATCCTACTATCTCCCAGAGTTAATCAGATTTTAAAAAGCATTAATTAAAACAGTATAAATAAGGTAATATATTTTCTATTTCCTGGGACTGAGCACATATTCTTTTCTATATGATAGATGAATATATTCCTATAACCCTCTTATCCAATTTGAGCTTTAAAAAAATTCCCAGGCAGGTACGGTGGCTGACAGCTGTAATCTCAGCACTTTGGGAGGCTGAGGAAGGAAGATCGCTTGAGCCCAGGACTTTGAGACCAGCCTGGGCAACACAGTGAAACCCTATCTCTACAAAAAAAAAAAAAAAAAAAAAAAAAATACAAAAATTAGCTGGGCATAGTAGTGTGTGCCTGTAGTCGTAGATACCTGGAAGGCTGAGGTGGGAAGACTGCTTGAGCCCAGGAGGCAGATACTACAGTGAGCCAAGATCATGCAACTTCACTCTAGCCTGGGCAAAACAGCCAGATCCTGACTCAAAAAAACAAAACAACAATAACAAAAAAATCCACAAAGAAAAACAGAAACAGCACTTCAAATCTATGATCCTCAAAAATTTACTGATGTAACACACATATAGGAAATTAATTTATTAGCACATGTATACATGATAAAAACATAATAAATACATTAGTAATATTATCAAAAATAGCAAATAAACATAGTGTTAAGGCTTAATGACTTTATATTTGTGAACAGTTGGCCTAAGGCTATTATTTTTTGTTTGTTTATTTAGTTACTTATTTTGAGACAGGGTCTCACTCTGTCACCTAGGCTGCAATGCAGTGGTACGATCTCGGCTCACTGCAGCCTCAAACTGTTAGGCTCAAGCAATCCTCCTGCCTCAGCCTCCTGAGTAGCTGGGACCACAGGCACATGCCACCAGACCCAGCTAATTTTTAAATTTTTGTAGAGACAGGGTCTGGTCTTTAGAGACCAAACCTCGCCTAATTTTTTAGTTTTGTAGAGACACAGGGTCTCGCTATGTTGCCAGGTTATGTGGCCATTGATTTTATAACCTGCTACATTATGGATTTCTCTCATCAATCCACTCCTATAGCAGCTTTTCCACTGATTAATTTTTGGGAATTTTAGGTATATAATCAAATCATCTACATCTAGAAATAGTTTTACCTCTCCATGTCTGATCTTCAGTGTCTAATCACATTGGCTCATACCTCCAACACAGGCATGTATTGCAGAGGGCATGCTGGACATCCTTAACTTACACCTGACTTTAACTGCTAGTGTACTACCTTAAAGAAAGTGCTGATTTTGAACTGAAGCGTGTGTGTGCACATGCGCTTATAAAATAATGTTAAGGAGGTATTTTATTATTTTTTAAACATAAATAGAATTTAAATTTTGTTCAGTGCCTTTTCCCTATGAGTAAGTTCAAAGGATTTTTCTCCTTATCTTTCCTAATATGAAGAATTATATTAATTGATTTATCGTATTGAGCTATTCTTGGATTCCTGGAATAACCTTCACTGGTCATGATAAAGATTTTAATGCAACATTGGTTTATTTAAAATATTTTATCTCAGAAAATTTCTGTATCAATAAAACTGAAATCGATCTATAAATTACCTTTGCAAAAAATTTTTTCTTAATTTTGAAATTTAAATTACATTTACTTGACAAAATAAATTTGAAACTTTTCCTTCTTTTATTATGCTTTGGAATAATTTAAGGAACATAGTTAAGTAGGGAGTATCCGACCTTGGCGCGTGTCTTGTCAGGGAATACTTCTACCACACTATTTATTTTATGATAATTGGTCTGTTTGAACTTAATGTGGTAAATTTTTATTTTCTTGAAATTATTCATTTCATGAAGATTTTAAAGTTCACTTGTATGTAGTTAGACAAATGGTCCCTTATGACTTAATTTCCTTTTGTGATCATTATCCCCTTCCAACTCATATGTAACTTCTAATAATCAAATATTTGTACTCCCTTTATCCTTGATTAGGCTAATTCATGGTTTGTCTATGTTGATGATTTTTTTCAAAGGACCAATTTTCAGAATTAACTCAGCAAT
The DNA here is from genome assembly GCF_000001405.40 of Homo sapiens. NCBI lineage: Eukaryota > Metazoa > Chordata > Mammalia > Primates > Hominidae > Homo > Homo sapiens. The sequence continues at coordinate 237,276,523 of NC_000001.11, read as the reverse complement.
TTCTTTCTTATCTTTATTAATACCATTTTGTTGCTTTATTTTGCTTTGTTGTTCTTCTCCCAGTTTTCATCTGGTTGTTTAATTCATTGATTTAAATTTTCATTTTTAATAATATATGCACTGAGGCCAGGCGTGGTGGCTCACGCTTGTAATCTCAGCACTTTGGGAGGCCAAAGCAGGCAGACCACCTGAGGTCAGGCGTTCTAGACCAGCCTGGCCAACATGGCAAAACCCCGTCTCTACTAAAAATACAAAAATTAGCCAGGCATGGTGGTGGGTGCCTGTAATCTCAGCAACTCGGGAGGCTGAGAAAGGAGAATTGCTTGAATGCAGGAGGTGGACGTTTCAGTTAGCCGAGTTCGTGCTACCACGCTCCAACCTGGGCAACAGAGCGAGACTCCATCTCAAAAAAAAATAAAATAAAATACGAATATATGCATTTAATGCTATAGATTTTATTCTGATAACTTCTTTAGCTATATCCCATGCATTCTAAAACATCACATGTTCATTATCATGATGTTCAAGAAACTCTTCAATTTTATTTTGCCTTTGACCCAAGATTTAATTAATAGTGTACATTTTAATTTTCAGATAGAAAAGTCTTTTGTGTGGTTTTTATTTTTTAGGGGGCTGATTTTGTTTTTGCTTTTTAAAAAATTAACTTCTAGTTTCTTTATAGTTATATTTGTATTATTCCTATTCTTTGGAACTTACTGAAGTTTTCTTTGTGGCCTAAAATATTGTCAATATTCTTTAATATGGTATGTGAACTTTAAAGAAAGGTATATTCTATTTTTGAGGTTCAGATTTTGACATATCTCTATAAGGTCAACCTTATTGATTATGCTAAGCATTGTACTTATTTTTTTCAAGTTGAAGTGTGTTACGTCTCTTATTATTGGTATGTTTCTACGTTTCTCTTTGCAACTTCTGAGGTTTCTACTTTGTAAAAGTTGTATCTGTTATTGGGGCCATGAAACTACTTTGTCTTCATTGAGAAATGTACCCTTTGGCATGATAAAAAAAAAATCCTTCTTTGTCTCAAAGTTTTTTAGTCTAAATTATGCCTTGTCAAATAATGAGATAAAGACATCTGCTTTCTTTTTGTTTGCATTTCTTGGTATATCCTTGTCTATCCTTTTATTTTTCCCTTTCTGAATGCCTTTGTTTTTGTATACATAGTGTTAGATTTGGCTTTGTAGTCATGCTTATAATTTTAAGTTCTTATTTTAATAGGTAAGTCAAACTCACTTATAATTGTTTATATAATCAATACACTTTGGCCTCAATTCTCCTAGATTGTTAAAATGCATATTTTAATTAAAAAATACTATAAATATATAATTTCATTTTTATTTAAAATGAAAATTTTCCTTTTATTTAAAACATTTTATGTGTGCGGTGTGTATGTGTGTGTGTGTGTGTGTGCGTGTATGTGTGTGTGTGCATCACCCATGGATGATATATATATACAGACATGCATCACTTAATGATGGGGACACATGCTAGAAATGTGTCATCAGGTGATCTTATCATTATGTGTACATCATGGAGTGTATGTAATACAAACCTAAATGGTACAGCCTCCTATACACCTAGGTATGTACGGTATAGCCTATTACTCCTAGGCTACAAACCTGTACAACACATGACTATACTGAATACTGGAGGCAACTGTAACACAGTGGTATCTGTTTATATAAACATATCTCAAAATAGAAAAAGTACAGTAAAAATGTGATATAAAAGGTAAAAAACGGTACACCTATATAGGACACCTTACAATAAATGGAGCTTGCACGACCGGAAGTTACTCTGGTGAGTCAGTGAGTGAGTGGTGGGTGAATGTGAAGGCCTAGGACACTACCCTACTGCAAACTTTATAAACGCTGTACACTTAGGCTGCACTAAATTTATTTTTAAAATTTTCTTTGTTCAATGATAAATTAACCTTAGCTTATTGTAACTTTTTACTTTATAAACTTTAATTTTGTTAGCTTTTTTATTTTTGTAATAACACTTAGCTTAAAATACAAACACAGCTGTATGAAAATATTTTCTTTATATCTTTGTTCTAGACACCTCTTTCCTATTTTTTAATTTTTTTTTACTTTTTAAACTTTTTTGTTAAAAACTAAGACTCAAATTCACATCATTGTAGGCCTACACAAGATTGAAATCATCCAGACATCACTAGGCAATAGGAATTTTTCAGCTCCATTATGATCTTATGGGACCACTGTCATATATGTGGTATGTGGCATACAGCTGTGTCATATGTATATACGTGATACATATATACACATATACATAGGATATACATATCATATATAATATGTACATTAAATATGCATTTTTATATTTAAATAGAAATATATAGTTATCATATGTAATACCTACATATCATATATATCTACATTATCATATATCTACATTAAATATATATAATATAAAGGTATATTTATAATATATTATAAATATTATATATAATATAAAATATATATGTATTTCTTAATAAACATGAATGTACATTAATTTATAATATAAATATATTTAATATATGCGTTATATAATATAAATATATAATATATATTTTATAATACTTGTATGTTTTGTTATGTTTATTATATCATTTATAATATACATATGTTCATAAAATATACAATATATAAATATATTTTTATATATCTCTTTTGTTTAGGAAGTTTGGGCTTCCCTAACACTCATATTTTTAAATAATATTCTTAAGACCTTCTCTTTTTGATTACTATTTCTTAGTTCTATGACCAATATTGCAAATAGCTAATATATTATTTATCTCTGGTGAAAGTTATATTTACTTTTAGACTACATCTATAAAGCAATCAGGAAGTTGAATTTTTATAAACTATACCCACTCTCCCATTTTTGGTAGTCATACTTACTTAACCTTGTCAGAGGACAGAGCCATTCCATAAGACACTCTCCCCTAAAACCATCATTCCATCTCAGTTCCTTGGGGAAATGTGTCTTGAATGCTCACCACCATTCCTCGTGCCACAGTCTGTACTGCAATTTGGTTTTCTTGGGGCAGGGGTCCCCAACCCCTGGGCCATGGATCAGTGCCAGTCAGTGGCCCCTTAGGAACCAGGCCACAGAGCCGGAAGTGAGCAGCAGGCAAGCTTCATCTGTATGTACAGCTGCTCCCCCTCACTGGCCACCTGAGCTCTGCGTCCTGTGAGATCATCAGCAGCATTAGATTCTCACAGGAGTGCAAACCCTATTGTGAACTGCACATGCAAGGGATCTAGGTTGCACACCCTCTTATGAGAATCTAATGCCTGACGATCTGTCACTGTCACCCCCAGATATAGCCATCTAGTAGCAGGAAAACAAGCTCAGGGCTCCCACTGATTGTACATTATGGTGAGTTCTAGAATTTATTATATATTACAATGTAATAATAATAGAAATAAAGTGCACAATAAATGTAATGTGCTTGAATCATCCCCAAAACACCCTCCAGCCCCGGTTCATGGGAAAATCGTCTTCCATAAAATCATTTCCTTTGGATTTTCAAAGGTTTTCACTTTTCCATCTTCTATATCTCTACAGATGTTAAGCTGTGGGTTTACGTGCTCTGGTGTCCCTTCTCATGCAGTCTCCAGGTCTAAAATTAGTTTTTCTTTAATTTGGAATTCTGGCCTGTTATTCAGCTCCCTTTTCCAAATCTCTGTTCTCTACTCATCTTGTTTCTGAGTTAAGAATGTATGTTGCTCTTTCATAGTGTCTCTTATTTTTTTAATTTCTTTTAGTTCATTTTTAAATAGTTATGTTTATTTAACTAGTTGACCTTTATTACCTTTAGATATTATTCTGCTTCTTATTCTCTTTTTATATATAAAACAATATATACACATATAAATTATATATTAAGCATAATTATAATTATATAAATTAGATTACTCCACTAATATATATAAATTATACATAATTATATATATTATAAAATTATAATGTCTACAGGCAACACAAGCACATCAAATGTCCAGACAAAAATTGAAATGCTTTTTCTTATACTCTTAGGGAGAAGAGAGAGTGTAGCCTTTTTTTCAGCTTTACAGCTCTAGAGCTCCTTGTTCTGTGGTTCTCCCCACTACTTGAAACATGGCCTCTTATGAAATCTATGGGTTCTGCTTCCCCCCTCTATTTTTTTTTTGGTTCGATCCTTCTCTATCCTTTGCCTCTATCGCCCCTGCAATTTCTCCTCAGAGGAGGACTTTGACCTGTAAGGGAGTTTTACATAGTTAGCTATAAAAGTCCATAGGGCCAAGGTTACTCCAGAAACGTCTCACCTCACTATGCCATGGTTCCTTTGCTTCCTCTTAGTTCTCTTTCTTTTTCTTTTCTTTTTGACAGAATCTTGCTCTGTCACCCAGGCTGGAGTGCAGTGGTGCGATCTTGGCTCACTGCAATCTTCGCTTCCTGGGTTTAAGGGATTCTTGTGCCTCAGCCTCCCAAGTAGCTGGGATTACAGGTGTGCATTACCACACCCAGCTAATTTTTGTATTTTTAATAGAGACAGGGTTTCACTATGTTGGCCAGACCGGTCTTGAACTCCTGACCTCAAGTGATCCGCCTGCCTTGGATCCCAAAGTGCTGGGACTACAGGCATGAGACACCGTGCCTGGAGTGGTTACTGTTTTCACATTGGCCCACCAGGCTTTCCAGCAAGGATTTGTCACTGACTTTCAGAGACAATAGAAATCATGTCACCTCTCTTGCACTTCCTCCTATACATTTACTGACACCATACGTAGGAATAACTTGCCACTTAGTTTGTCTTAGATACTGTATTGTCTGTGGCTGTGAGTTTTACCCTCTTCATAGCTCTTTCTGGTTGCATGTGGAGATTCAAAGAGATGAAAAACTATGCCTTTTTGATAAGGCTTCATTTCTCCCTGAATTTTTAATAATAACAAGGTAGGTCTGTCTCAAAGTGAATAGTTCCTAAAAGCAAAACCTCAACTTCTAATTTCTGAAATATAGAGACACAGATGAAAATTCATTCATATACAGAACATACAGTAAATATCCACAATTAGGAATCAGGAATAATTAATCAAAACATATCAACAGAATTAAGTGTTTATATTTCTGCAAGAAAATCTATGCTGATATTATGAACCATTCTCTTTTAGGCAAAGATCAGCCTAAAAGAATAAATATCCTCGGAGCGATTGTCTCAAAAAGTTAGTTCTGCCTTTGATTTTAAAATTCTGTAGCTTAAGATATTGCTGGGCTCATTTCAAAGAGTATATCTATAATTTACAGTATCTGACTACTTACTACCAACAATCTTTCTGTCCTTTGCCCTTTATGATCAATGCAAGAGATAACACTTTGAGGAAAAAAAAAAGCCATATCCCATTTTCTACCAATGAAAGTCAAATCCAGATATATCTATGTGAACTGCATCTAGACCCAGGTTTACGTATTTTAAACATGAACTGGGATTTAGAGTTTTGACTTTTCGTTAATATGGAAAATTGAAAGTCTATCTTATAAAAAAATACAATGAGCCTAAGACTATTGGTTCCTTTACAAACTTAATAATCCATTAAATCTTCCTAGCCCTTATCAGTTTTCAAATTATATCACTGATTTACTTGTTTGCTTTTCTACTAGAATATAAACCTCATGGGGCAAGGACTTTCTGTGTTCTTGCTAATAATCTTATCCCTAGTTCTTTGTACCCAGGAGAGACTCAATTAAAAATCAGCAAAATGGAGATGGAAAACATTGTTATATCCCTTTCATTTATATAGTATGTATTCCACAGAAAATAGTAGAGAGCTCATAAATAACTTCAATGCCACTAGTAAAACTTGCATATTTGAATAGCCTTGAAAGACTTCATCCCACCTTGGAATTGGAAGTGGACTCCAAGAAACAAAGTCTGTTGCCAAATCCTTCTGCTGCCAAGCATAGCTTCTGTTGTTCTTTGTGGATGGTTGCGGTGCACTGCAGAACCACTTCATCATCCTGCAAAGGGGGAGAAAGAGAGGGAAAAATAAGTGAGACGTGACATGACTGCACAGTCCAAATCATATCTTGAAGAACATTATTTTAGTGCATTTTAAAAATCTGTGCCGAATGTAAAAACTACTGTCAAAAAAACAACCAAAAGAAACCCCTACGGAATCAATCCCTCACGTACTTTTTATTTGCAAAAAGGCAACTGAGTAGGGGAAAAGAGGGGAGCTACGGCCATTCAAGGCAATCAGTAGTTTTCTGACTGTACTGACTGATCCCCAGAGGCAACCTGAACAAATAAAAGTAAAATACAGGATTTTCATATTATCGTCACTATTTTAGTCATCAAAATTAACAAGAAATTGTCTGACACATTTCTAGGACACCAAGTATCATCAAGAACGGAACAGATTCTAATAGCAGGCACACATGTCATTTCAAAACTCACACAGGAAAACAGGTCAATAACAGAACTTTCTCACTTCAAAGTGATGGTAAAAGTCATCTTAGTTCAACCAAGCATTAGTTGCTTGATCATATCAGAAAGGATCCTGGGTTGCTTAAAAATGTATGGAGAGACAATTTATTTCAGTCCTCTGAAAGCCAAAACAGGTTTCCAATCAATTCATTAAGCAAGGTTACTGAAGAAACTGTACATGGGGAAAGACGAAAATTAGAATGACTCAATACAGGCAGTGGGAGTGCTGCAGGAATCACGGACTTTAGGACAAGCAAGATCTGGATTCCCATCCCAGCTCACCATGTACTAGGTTATATGATCTGAGGCAAAGTACTGAATTTCTAAAATGACGAAGTAAATCCGATAAAGCACCTTACATAATGACTAGCATACAAAAGGCACCAAATGCACAGTAAGAAAATGGAAAACACAGGTTCTACGTGGCAAGGGCCTAAAAAGTCTGACCATTTACGTGTTTTGACATCTCAACCTCAAGGAAACAAAAGAAAACATAACAGAGTAGTAAAAGAGCAATATAATCATCAACCATTCTAATTAGAGAGAAAAAGGACACACAAGTATATTCTAGAAGCCCTTCACCAAGGTAGTATGGCAGGGCAGAGGTGATGGGAATAAAGACTCAAAAGCAGACGGCAAGTTGTTTTTTTTTTTATTTTTAGCTAACCTAAAGAATATGCTATATGGCCGGGCGCGGTGGCTCACACCTATAATCCCAGCACTTTGGGAGGCCGAGGCAGGCGGCTCACCTGAGGTTGGGAGTTCGAGACCAGCCTGACCAACATGCAGAAACCCTGTCTCTACCAAAAATACAAAAATTAGCTGGGCGTGGTGGCACATGCCTGTAATCCCAGCTACTCAGGAGGCTGAGGCAGGAGAATTGCTTTAACCTGGGAGGCGGAGGTTGCAGTGAGCTGAGATCGTGCCATTGCGCTCCAGCCTGGGCAACAAGAGCGAAACTCTGTCTCACAAAAAAAAAAAAAAAGAATATGCTATATAAATTGGAAAGGTGCCACTCTAATTTGTATTTAAAATCCTGGTAATGCTTTTATTTGCCTTTATTTCCTTTTTTTTTTTTTTTTTTTTTTTTTTGAGACAAGAGTCTTCCTCTGTCACCAGGCTGGAGTGCAGTGGCATGATCTTGGCTCACTGTAACCTCTGCCTCCTGGGTTCAAGCCATTCTCCTGGCTCAGCCTCCCGAGTAGCTGGGATTACAGGCACCCACCACCACACCCAGCTAATTTTTGTATTTTTAATAGAGATGGGGTTTCACCATGTTGGTCAGGATGGTCTCAATCTCCTGACCTCGTGATCCGCCCGCCTCGGCCTCCCAAAGTGCTGGGATTACAGGTGTGAGCCACCGCACCCGGCTGTATTTGCCTTTATTTCCTATATGGTAGCACCAATATTTAATAGCGTAGCTTATAGCACCAGCCACAGGCAAAGCCCAATATTTTTAACAACCACCTCCTAACTGACCCTCCAGGTGCTCACTGATTTCCAGTGAACATTCATTTGTTTGCTTTAAAAAATAATCTGCTAAAAAAATAGCATTATTCCCATAGGATGGGTATATCTGAATATAAATTCATGTGCAGTGTGGCTATAATAAAAACAATCATGAAGTACTTTGGAGCTTATATAATCTGCAAGATCAAAGCTATATTGTGGTGTAATAAAAAAAGAACCAAAAATTGTGCTGGTGTGTTCAATGCCTTATCAAATCCCCAGAGGCTTTTACTATTTTGTCTCACCTACCCTATGGAACTAACTCTAACATGCAAACTACACTCTTGGGTAAGTAACTACACTCTTACTCTTTTGGATGCTAGAGGCTATCTAAATACAATTTAATACATTATTAATAACTAACTAAAGACAGTTTGGGAATGAGAATAAGAGAAGACAGCAAGATGAGGTAAAAACAAAACCACAGATATATGGGACAAGTGGGAGTAACAGAGCTTACTCAGTAAGCCCCGGAAGAAGAGAAGGCACACCGTCTTTACCAAAAGTACAGTGAATGCCCATCCTGGCATTAACTTATTTAATCCTCACTCTACCCCTGTGGTATAAAGAGGACCCACACATATCTAGATGAGGAAAATGAGACATAAAGTAACTTGTTACTCACAGAGGGCTTATCAGACATATTTCCAGAAATTGATCACTAAACCTAATTCATCTGAATTAGATTCAGATAATTCAGTCTGTAATCCCATCCCACACTGCTTCTAGAGACTCAATTGATTTTACCATGTATGTTAAAGTGCTTCTCTATCTGTAAGGTGCATCCTATCGCCCATGGATCCTGCTAAGGTGCAGATTCTGATTGGGAAAGTCTTGAGTGGGGCTGATTGTGCATTTCTAAGAAGCTCTCAATATGAGCCACACTTGAGAGCTTGTTAGATGAGGATCTAGGGCCCAGAAAGGGACCCAGAAAATATATGGATCCTAAGAAATATACGAGTTTCTTTTCTTCTCTTCTCTTCTCTTTTTTCTTTTCTTGAGGCAGAGTCTCAGTCTGCTACCCAGGCTGGAGTGCAGTTGCACGATCCCAGCTCACTGCCACCTCCACCTCCTGGGTTCAAGTGATTCTCCTGCTTCAGCTTCTCAAGTAGCTGGGACTATAGGCAAGCGCTACCATGCCCTGCTCATTTTTTGTATTCTTAGTAGAGACAGGGTCTCACTATGTTGCCCAGGCTAGTCTCGAACTCCTGAGCTCAGGCAATCCACCCACCTCGGCCTCCCAAAGCGCCAGGATTACAGGCGTGGGCCACTGCGCCCAGCCAGATATGAGTATCTTTTTGATATATGATATAGGAAACCTATAGGAGTTTGAAGACAATCTTTAACAGTCAAATATTAAAATAAGCCTGTGCACTTTGGACAAATCAGAAATTAGAGCTCGTGTGGAGATGCCCATCAGTATGTGAGATGTACCAATCATCTAAGGGAAAGGAATGGATTTAAATACTATATTAAGCTATCCTATCCAATGTATGAGACCAACTCACTTACGCAAAGTTTCACTTCAATCCAGTCCCTTAACATTGTATGATGGAGTGCATGGTAATGAAGCAACATTAAGTTCAGGAGAGCTCCACTATACCACCAAGGAGAGAGGCTATAGCTACAGCTTTCAATCATGGTTCAGTTCAGGAGAGCTCTGCTATACTACCAAGGAGAGAGGCTATAGCTACAGCTTTCAATCATGGTTCAGTTCAGGAGAGCTCTGCTATACCACCAAGGAGAGAGGCTATAGCTACAGCTTTCAATCGTGGTTCAACTTTGAATGATACAACCTAATCTGACATACTCATCAAAGCTTTTGCCAGTTTGCCCAGGAGCTGCTTCTATTTTACTTTCCAGTAATCAAAAGGTTCCTTTTGGACAGAAAGTAAAATATACTGAACATTTAATGAACCAAACACCAATTCACAAGCCACCTTCCAGTTGCCTTTAATTAACCCCATCATTCATCTCAGAGCACACTTCCTCTCCAGAATCACTGTGGTCTGACAGCATGCAGAGTAGGCATTTGAGAGGTTTTGATAAATAGCTTAATGTTTTCTATTTATGATTATCCATATGTAATACATCTGGTAGGTAACATATATATGAAATGCACATGAGGATATTGTGTACATGCACACATGCTCACACATACATGTACACACACACACACACACACACAATCTAGTTTCTATTCCAAGAATAAAGACCAACACTGCCAAATACTGATGGGATCCAGAGGGTTAACCTACCTGACAGGACAATAAAGATATTAATTAAAGTATGTCTTCCTGGGTCATAAGGCCTCTTCCGAATTAGTCTTTGCTATTCAGCCGCTGAGGTGCAGACTTGTAATTCATATGTCTTGCTTTTGCATTTTGGTTGCCTGTGCCAATAGTGTTTCTGAGTGCTGAAATGCACATGATGACCATCATTTTTTTCACCTTGGCCCAGAAGCACTGAAAGCACCCTTAAATACTCACCCTTTACTAAACAAACATGAAGAAACAAATTTATTGATCTTTCTTTATACAAATTCTGGATGAAATAATAAATAATCAACCACTTAAAAGAAACCTCAAGAGCAATCAGATAAATGGAAGGACTTAACAAAAGGGTGACATCCACCTTGGAGTTACCAAGTCCTGTGGATTCTACTCCATCAACACTTTTCCAATCCATCAATTTCTCACCACCTTAGTCCAAGCTACAATTATCTCTCATTTTGACATCTTCAAAATCCACTGAATGGTTCTCCACACTGCACACTCCCTTCCAAGGAGCTTTAGCTTGAGGCCACACCATCAATCTGTACTATACGGCATGCTGGCTTAAAACCCTTCAATGGTTTCCAATTGCTCTAAAGATAAAAGCCAAAAAATCCTTGAGCAGGCCAGGCGCGGTAGCTCACACCTGTAATCCCAGCACTTTGGGAGGCCCAGGCGGGTGGATCACTTGAGGTCAGGAGATCGAGACCAGCCTGGCCAACATGGTGAAACCCCATCTCTACTAAAAATACAAAAATTAGCCGGGTGTGGTAGTGTGCACATGTAGTCCCAGCTACTTGGGAGGCTGAGGCAGGAGAATCTCTTGAACCCGGGAGGCAGAGGTTGCAGTGATCCGAGATTGTGCTACTGTGCTCCAGCTTGGGCAACTGAGCAAGATCCCGCTCAAAAAACAAACAAACAATCAAAAAAATCCTTCAGCCTACAAGGCTCTGCACTGCATGGTCTGGCACCAGCCCAATATCTCCAACCAACCTTCCTTCATGCCTTTTCTCCTACAGGACTTTCGCATGCACTATTAAACCCCTTTCTCTCTTCTCTAGTTAATACTTACCCATCTTTCAAATCTCAACCCAGGCATCCTTTCAAGGCTGTGTTGAGATTGGACCCACCAGGCTATTAATTCTTTTGTTTTGTGCTCCCATAACATTGTATTTTCTCTTTTAGTTTCTTCAATTGTTATCATGCATTCATTTGTGTAATTATTAATGTCTGATTATTAAACTGAGTCTGGGCCAGGCACAATGGCTCACATCCCAGCACTTTGGGAGGCCGAGGCAGGTGGATCACCTGAGGTCAGGAGTTTGAGACCAGCCTGGCCAACATGGTGAAACCCCATCTCTACTAAAAAAAAAAATACAAAAATTAACCAGGCATGGTGGTGGGTACCTGTAATCCCAGCTACTTGGGACGCTGAGGCAGGAGAATTGCTTGAACCCGGGAGATGGAGGTTGCAGTGAGCCGAGATCACGCCACTACACTCCATCCTGGGTGACAAGAGCAAGACTCCGTCTCAAAAAAAAAAAAATAATAATAATAATAAAAAATAAACTGAGTCTGTTTTTACCTAGAATTATAGCCCCAGTATCTAGCATAATGTCAGGTATATAAAAGGGCCTCAATCAATAGTAGTTGAATGAATGGATAAGAACAAACAATGCCCAAAATTTGTAATAAGTTAATACCACTAAATCAGCACTACCCTTTCATTGAATTGCCCACTTTGGACATTGCAGTTCAAAAACAAAGCTCAACATGAGATCTTTCTCAATAGTGAAGAAATGTTGCCTTCCCCAAATCATCATACTGAGGATTGGCCAAATAAGGAACTGTAGCTACAATGCAGATATATACAAGCCTTAGTTAGCAAAGAAAGTAGATAAGGCATTCAGGGATGCCTAGGGACCTCACACTTGGCCAGACTGTACACCGGCTAATCCCAGAACAAGAGAAAGAAAATAGAAAACCTTCAAAGAATCAGGAGATGTAGAAAGCAGGAGACAGAGAAAGCCCAAAGCTTAGGGATAGCAGGGGTGGCGACAGTGGAAGAGGGGGATATAATGGGGACATGTTGAGGGGTGAATTATGGGAAAGCCTATGTGTATGCACCTGTGTGTGTGTGTGTGTGTGTGTGTGCATGTGCATGTGTGTTTGTACATTTAGTAATTCTGAGCAAAGTTAGCTTGACTGCTGCTCACAAACCTGTGAGGTCACACACACAGAAAACCACTTCCACGGTCGCCCTATCTAAAATAGCAGCCCCTATCACCCTGAGTCCCTTCTCTTATTTTTTCCCCTTTATTATCACTACCTGACACTATATTATATGCTATTTGCTTTTTTTAAATTTTTCTGAGCCTCCCCCACTAGAATGCAAGTTCTGTAAGGGAAAGGACCTTGTCACTTTTACTAATGGTGATCACCAAAGCCTGTAAGAATGCTGGCTCACAGGAAGCACTCAATCAAAAAATATCTATTAAATAGATACATAGATGACCTCTAATCCAATTTGATCCCAGCAAGGGGGTGGTATTTAGAGGGGCTTCTGCCTTTCCATTACAACAAATAAGAATCAAACAAAAGATACTCCATTCCTCCCATACAAACATCTTGAAGCACTCAAGGGTGAGCCTACGCATTTTATTTAGTATCTCCCCATGCCACTTTCACATCAGTTTCCTGGTTGATATTTAATAACAAGGAACAGAATTCATAAACCATGACAGTGATGTTACTTGCAGACAGAAATCACTTCTTTGCAGTTACTTAGACCCAATTCTGTCCATTTCTATGGGTTCCAATAGCATTAGGATCTGTGTGAGAGCAGGAACAAGGTCTGGTTTGCTCACCAGTACATCTCTATTGTCTAACACTGTGCCTGCAAATGTTATGAACTCAATAAGTGATTGCTTATCACAATCCACCTTAAGATTATTCATAAATACATGCTGCCATGCTGACAGATGGAGTCTCTTTTTAGAACTGCCAAGGTAAGATCTTATTTAATTTCCAATCAAAGCTGGTATTGTATGATCCCATTAAGTGATTTCATGGTTTCATGCAGCCAGGAAATAGGGCAATATTGGAGGAAAATTACCGATCCTGTCTATTATTGCTGTGACAAATTTTAATGTATCATAAGCATCCACAGCCTCAATATAAAACCCAATGCATCACTGAAAAAAAGCAATGCAGTCCCTTCTTTTTCCCCTATTTTAAGTAAAACAATGCTCTTTGTGTACATAATCTAAACGAATCAGTCATATATTATACTCTTGAAAACTCAATAAATAGTCTTAATAACTCTAGTCATTAAAAAAAAAATCTCTCACATCATGCCAAGTATTTTCCCTAAACTCTTACTCCTCCAGTCTTCCGAGATTTTTTTCCAGGTTTAGGCTTTGTGTAACTGGTCCTCTAAGTTATGTCCTGAGAATTTTTCCATAATTAGCATCAACTCAGAAAGCTCACTATATGTATCTTATCCTGTGGTTATCTCTCCAGCACATCAGCTTAAACTCCACGGAAACCAGTGGCTTAATGAAAATAAATGCTTTAGTGAAAACCTAAGTTACTAATTATCCATTTTAGACAACTGTACATAGAAAATGTTCAGTCAATATATGTTGAATTGAATTCCTTTCTGTATTTCCTGTGACTATAAAACTCTTGGCCAGGTGCAGTGGCTCATGCCTATAATCTCAGCACTTTGGGAGGCCGAGGCGGGTGGATCAACTGAGGCCAGGATTTTGGGACCAGCCTGGCCAACATGGTGAAACCCCATCTCTACTAAAAATAGAAAAAATTAGCTGGGCATGCTGGTGTGTGCCTGTAATCCCAGCTACTCAGGAGGCTAAGGCAGGAGAATCACTTGAACCTGGGAGGCGGAGGTTGCAGTGAGCCAAGAGAGTGCCATTGCACTCTGGCCTGGGCGACAAGAGTGAAACTCCATCATAAAAAAAAAAAAAAAAAAAAAAAAAAACTCTTTAGAACAGAGATCTAATATTTATGGAAGAAAGGCCAGAACTGGAGTACTGGATTCTGACAATTTTGTGATGAGTAAATAAGACATGATTTCTACAATCACTGTTGCCAAGTCTGCTGGAACAGTACAGAATGGAGAACAATTCTCAAACAACATCAACAGTTCCTTTCAAATAGTCATTCATCATTTAAAAGATATTCACTCAGATGCAATACATGCTAGGAAATATTATAAGAGCTAAATTGCCTAATAAACAAAAGATCCCCGAACTCATTAGGCTTGCATTCTAGCAAGAGAAGAGGACAAATTTTAAAAAATAAACTAAAAATCTGAAAATCTTAGAAGGTGAAAAGTTCTATGGAAAGAAAAAAAAGAATAGTATAAGGGGATCGGAGATGCTACTAGCCTGGGGGAAGTTGAGGTTTTGAACAGAATTGCCAGGGCCTCATTGAGGGGGTGACTTTTGAGCAAAGACTTTAAGGAGGAATGAGAAATTGATCAAATGACGATGTGGAGACAGGGTCTCGCCATGTTGCCCAGGCTGGTCTAGAACTCCTGGGCTTAAGTGATCTGCCCACCTCGGCCTCCCAAAGTGCTGGGATTACAGGTGTGACCCACGGCACCCCACCAAAGTGTTTTATTTCTTTGTAAAACACTTGTGACCTGCCTTCACTCGTCCCACAATATAACCGTCCCGGTGGAGTGAGCACCAGTGGAGGGGGAGCAATCCAGGGAGAGGGAAAGCTGGTGAAAGCCCTCTAGGCAGGAAAGCATGGACTTAGCATCGTCAGAAAATTCACAGCTAGAGCAGACTAGGCTAGGGGAAGTGGGTGGGAGATGAGGTCAGAGATAATGGGCCCAGACCATGGAAAGCCTTGATGTCAGTGTAAGACCTTTGGATTTTACTGGGGGAAATGGGCAGCCACTGGGTCATGTACTAAATGTAGAGTGTAGAAAGGCAAGGAAGAAGCAGTTACCCAAGGGGGGTCACTGCAACCATTCAGGGAGGGAGATGGTGGCTCAAAACAGAATGGTAGCAGTGGAAGTAGAGAGAAATGATCAAATTCTAGATATGCGTTGCATTTATCAAGTTCCAGTTATGTTGCAGGCATGGTGATAAGTGCTTACAAGTTGATCTCATTTATCCCATCATTGCTTTTGACATTTATGTCATACAGACAAATAAAATGTTATCTATGCTATTTTTTTGTTTTTGTTAAAGCAAATAAGTAGTTAACAGAATAAGCTGAGATAATTCCAAATAAAAGAAGCCAATATTTTTGGACTTTCACTCAGTCTATATTTATTCATTTAAAATACAGGCAGTCCTCAGTTTGCATGCTAGTACAGGACCATAAAAATGTCTTCAGACAAGCTTTGGGAAAATTCACATTGTTTATCATTGTTCCATGACCTTTAAGAATTTTTGTCCAAACATGACAAACTCCCTATGATTTATAAATGTATAGACAACATTTTCTAAATAATAAAACTAAATGTACTTAGTACACTATAATTTAGAAGACTGGAAACATTGAGAATTAACGTGTTTTATTTATTTTATTTTATTTTTGTAGAGACAGGGTCTCACCATGTTGCCCAGGCTGGTCTAGAACTCCTGGACTTAAGCGATCTGCCCACCTTGGTCTCCCAAAGTGCTGGGATTACAGGTGTGACCCACGGCACCCCATCAAAGTGTTTTATTCCTTTGTAAAACACTTGTGACCTGCCTTCACTCATCCCACAATATAACTGTCCCAGTGGAATAAGCATCTTTGCTATCCCTGGACAAATTGTCATGCTCCTACATTTGAATCACCTTCGGGAATTTTCTCCTTTGTGCTTTCAACGTGCTGAAATATCTCTGAGGGTTCTTTAATGTGAAGTTTTTCACCTGGTGTCATTTACTCTGGAACACCTACATCCTATGGGTCAGAACCATTTTCCTTGCACACGTCAATAAGCTCACTTTCACTAAGTTCCTCTGGGTGCGTATTTACAGGCAGTCAAAGGGCAGGACTGTCATCCTTCCATAGCCAGGTCATCCTTTTAGAACTCCTTTATGTTCAATTGGAATTCCAGTTCCCAATGTTATCACTTTTTGTTTCTTTGATGTACTTTCATCTGTTAGCCAATTTCCACTTATTCATTTTTTGTAAATCTTGGATCACTGGGGAACAAGAAGGTAACAACACTACACACTTTGCCTTGTATGCATGAACTAAAAACCAATACACAGTGACCAGTCATCCACAGACTCTAAAAGAAGTGATGTGATCACATCAATCATATCCATATGATGTGCATCTGCTATTTGACAGTGATTCATATTCCTAATGTGGTGATATTACAGAATAATCTAGTCTTCTCATAGTTTTAATTGCAGTGATATGATTGCATTTGAACTACCGTGTAACTGTCTAGTCTTCAGTTCCCCACCAGTGGATGAACTGGGCATCCTCCAAGGTGCCTTCAGTCCTCACATTTTACGGTTCTGTGAAAAGGGCAAAAGAAGAGAACGAATTCCCCCCATGTGCAAATTCAAGCAGAGAAGTCAACTGTACCTTTCACATGTTTACTGTATAAGCCTATCTGTAGCCTTCTATTAAGTAGAGGAAATGACAGGATATTTCATTAGTAGGCTTAACTATTTATGCTGTGTGTGTGGTTTTATACAAGGTGACGGTAGTCTCTCTTTTTTTTTTTTTTTTTTAAATGGTCTAGAGCTCTGTTGCCCAGGCTGGAGTCTCACTCTGTTGCCCAGGCTGGAGTGCAGTGGTGTGACTCACTCACTGCAACCTCTGCCTCCTAGGTTCAAGCGATTCTCCTGTCTCAGCCTCCTGAGTAGCTGAGATTACAGGCGCACAGCACCATGCCTGGCTAATTTTTGTATTTGTAGTAGAGAGAGAGTTTCATCATGTTAGCCAGACTGGTGTTGAACTCCTGACTTCAGGTGATCCTCCCGCCTTGGCCTCCCAAAGTGCTGGGATTACAGGTGTGAGCTACCATGCCTGGTCCAGTAGTATCTTTTCTATCTCAAAAATAATATAGCTACAGAAGTAATCTGTTGTTCTGTGCTGATGACTCTTATGCAAAAGTTTAAATACAAAATGACACATAAGAGATTATGGCCTGTGAGGCCAGTATTAACAGTGTGCCTTGGTAATGTCAGCCAAAGGGAGCTGGACAGAAACACCCAAATACCAGACACCATCAAGATGATGTCAGAGCCCTCACTTTATTTCCATCAGTCAGAGATGGCAGCTGGCCAAGCAGAAGGCAGAAGGCAGAATGTTGCTCTGAATATATAAACTTTCATCAATGCTTTTCTAGTCCCAGTTTAGTAGAAATAAACACTTCTATCAGAAAGGAACTTTACTTTTTCATCTTTAATACACTAAATCAGGAAATCCATCAGTGCTGAGCAGGTATACTGCACCAATAAACTCTAAATTAACGCCTTAGCATTCTGTCACAGTCTGTTGTCAACCAACTGATTCAGTCTCACTCAGGGCTGTCCTCACAAGCCATCAGCAATCTTTAGTGACCTGGACTTTTAGTTCCTGCCAACTAAGAAGCAGCAAAAATAAAAACTTGAGCCATCTTCAAAGAAAGTCTTGAACACTTTTCTTAAATGTCACAGAAACCAAGAGGTACATAAAAGAATATATAGATATGCCTTTATTTCATGAATAGCCACCAATAATGATCACATTTTAATAGGTCTATTACCCCAAATTTTGCCATCCCCCATAGTTCCTTATCTTGATAAGTGGCACTGTCAAGCAAACAGTAATGAATGCCAGATTCCCAGGCAGCATCCTGATGACTTCCTCCTCCTGACTGCCTGTAGTCCTGTTACCTGCCCTGACATCACTCTGGCCATAGAGGAAGTCAGCTTCTCACAGTCCATCAGACATATTGCATGATCTACTTCCTCCTCCATCTATAACACCTTCTCACGTCATTCTCCACTCTGCTTGCTACAATCCAACCACACATACCGCTATTTTGCTCCTCAGATGTGCAAAGCCCTTTTCTTTTTTTCTTTTTCTTTCTTTTTTTTTTTTTTTTTAGATGGAGTCTTACTTTTGTCACCCAGGCTGGAGTGCAATGGCACGATCTCGGCTCACTGCAACCTCGACCTCCTGGGTTCAAGGGATTCTCCTGCCTCAGCCTCTCGAGTAGCTGGGATTACAGGCACCTGCCACCACACCTGGCTAATCTTTTTTTGTATTTTTAGTAGAGACAGGGTTTCACCATGTTGGCCAGGCTGGTCTCGAACTCTTGACCTCAGGTGATCTGCCCGCCTTGGCCTCCCAAAGTGCTGGGATTACAGGCGTGAGCTACTGTGCCTGGCCACAAAGCCCTTTTCTACCTCAAGGTCTTTGCTTGTTCTTCCTCCAGATCTTTGCAAAACCTGCTCTGTCCCATTTTTAAGGTCTTACCTTATTAGCCCTCTCCTCTCCTTCTCACCCTACCTTCCTTCCCACCATTATCTCTCCAGTTCCTTCATAACATGCATCACACTCTATAACTGCTTAGTTTACTCAACTGTTTCCTTGCTCACTGTCTTCTGGAACAGAAGCACGCACACTGCATGAAGAAAGACTCTGCCGACCTCGTTCATACCGCATCCCTGGTACCCAGCACATAGTAGATATTCAGTCCTCTATTTGGAGAATAAAGAATGAATGATACTTTCTATACCTTTAAAAGGGAAAGAAGCTACCATTGATTACATTCTAGAACTACCTCCTTCCTAGGTGTATCATTAAGCATCTACTCCCAGGTACTATGCATTATCTCAATGAAATAGCAAAGGGAGGTTCATGTTAGTTTTATTTATCAACTTATACCTATCATATAGCACAGCATCTGGCACAGAAGCGACGGTCAATGGCTAAGAAATGAAGAGCTCTATGAGTTAATTACTATTACTATTATTATGGTTACCCTACAGATGAGCAGAAAGAGCCATTGTAAGAGTAAGCCATTTGCTCATGGATGCGCAGGTGGTCGAATGAGACAAATCTGGGCCCACACAATTCCAAAATCTATGCTCCTAGCCTCAAGACTATATTGTCTCCTACAATGATATCAAATCACTGCATTAAAAGACAAAGTACAGTCCTGTGATTTCCCAAATATCTTTAGATAGTAGGCTACAGCTAAAGTGAATAGACTCTAGACTTATCGTATGCACCCTGAATAGTGTCAATGACAACAAAACCACATGAAAAACAAATTTACAGAAAATGCCAAGCAAATTGGTTTGAATGGAGGAGTGGGATGCAATGGTGAGGTGAGAAAGAGAAGGTTGGCTATATCATGAATAGGTAATTAAAATTTAGACTAAGGAAGGGCAGCCTCAAGTAAAGTCACTCAAATTTTTGGTAAAGGAGAAAAAAGTAGAGTGGAAGAGGGAGATCAGCACAGAAGATGAGAAAGCGACCGTTCTCACTTTGCATTTTAGAGATGGAAAAATACTAGAGTTAAGCCTACTTTTTTGGGCTATTTTAGGAAGAATGAATGTATTAACATCTGCCATATCCTTTGGAATTCATTAAAGTACTTGATAAAACAAAGTTATTGGCTCAGAAGCCAGCAGAGTGTCTTCCTCTTCAATTACCGCTTTCACAAGTTTCCATGTTACCCTAAAATCCAGGAAACGGAATAATTAAGAGGAGCAGCAGAGAACCAAGGAAGGTGAAGGAGTCAAGGGCACAGCCAGCCCCAGATGCAGGCAAGAAGGTGATGACTTTGTAGGGAGCTTTGAAATGGTAATCTACTGATGAAAATTTGGTTTCCTTTCTATAATCACCATACACAGGTGTATTAGTCTGTTCTCACACTCCTGGTACCAACTTACTGTATTAGTCTATTCTCACGCTGCTGATAAAGACATACCAGAGACTGAGTAATTTATAAAGAAAAAGAGGTTTAATGGACTCACAGTTCCATGTGGCTAGGGAGGCCTCCCAATCATGGCAGAAGGCGAAAGGCACATCTTACACGGCGGCAGGCAAGAGAAAATGTGAGACAAGCGACATGGGTTTCCCCTTATAAAATCATCAGATTTCATGAGATTTATTCACTACCACCATAACAGTATGGGGGAAACTGCCCCTATGATTCAATTATCTCCCACTGAGTCCCTCCCACAACATGTGGGAATTATGGGAGCTACAATTCAAGATGAGATTTGGGTGGCGACACAGCCAAACCACATCAAAAGGCAATTCTAAAGACTGTCAGGGAATAAACTCCAAATCACCTGGCTGACTTCTCCCTCTGCCACACTCCTGTGTCCCCCTTGGCAGGCCATAGAATAGTAGAGCTGTGAAATTACTAAAGAAAAGCTAAACTCACACACACACACACACACACACACACACACACACTGGTATAGCAAGCAGCACAACTAGAACATCACACAAATAATTTGTGGATGCAGATACAATCCTGCAATCAATCGAGTGCCAATCACAGAAGAACTGATATAGTCAGGATC
The DNA here is from genome assembly GCF_000001405.40 of Homo sapiens. Taxonomy (NCBI): domain Eukaryota; kingdom Metazoa; phylum Chordata; class Mammalia; order Primates; family Hominidae; genus Homo; species Homo sapiens. The sequence goes on along the minus strand of NC_000001.11, from coordinate 237,255,728 downwards.
AATGTGCCCATATGATCACATGGAAAATCCATTTCAGTATCGTGATAGATCCCATCTATTGTCTAGTGAAATTTGATTTCAAAATGTGTGAAAAAAATTGAAACTGCCCTCATGAATGTCATCTAATATGTAGTGATGGCAAACTATACTTCTTGATAAATACTAAGCAAAGAAAGAAAGACAGATTCCCAGAAACCAGGAGGCAAAGGAAATTTTTTTGTTCCTATGTTATAAATCCCCTAAACTAAGTAAGGTCCTGAAATGTTTTAACTTTTAGAAAAAGATAAAAAGAAGTGAAGAGCCTAAAATGGCTTGGATATAGATGTCATCTATGTGGAATCCACCAATGGAAGCAGCTATCAGAATTTAGCATTTAATTTGACAATTATCATAAGAAAGTTGGCATATGAGTAAAAATATCAGATCTAAAAAGACTGGACATATTTCAGACATTCAAATTCAGTGTCTGTTTCATGTGAGATGAGATTAACATCGACAGATACATTCACCAAACAGTAACATCAACAAAAATGCACCTGTTTCTCTTTTCCACTTAAAAAATAGCATGAATCAAATCTATGCCTATGTTCCCAGTTGTGAATGATCTGAATTTCCCAGTTGGCATTGAAGATTGCTCACTTATCAAGACTCTGGTTAAACTTCATCATAATGTGTGTGCTGAGGATAAGAAAGTTTTCCTGAGCCTCTCATACCTAAAGTAGAACAGGCCCAAAGAAATGGCTGTTAAAGAAAATGAGTGTTCCCATTAGCACATAAAGAGTTAAAATCAAACATTGAGACATGCAGAATTTAGCACTCCAAGGCATCTCCTTGTCACCTGGTTTATCCATAAGCATAAAGTATTCAGAGATGAAAGCAAGTGCCAGACAGGCTGGCCCCTTAGGATCAGCCTGGTAATTACACCAGAGAGCATTGTCTGTTCTACAAACTGTGAGATATTATGTGTCTATGAAACATTAAATGTATTTATTCATACCACGCTTAAATATTTAGAGCAGATGAGACCCATGTGTAAGTATAAATATATGTATAGAGTACACATAACAGATTGGTGTCCGTTGCTTGCATATTTTAGAATGCTGAAAACCATCCTCCTCCTCTCTAAAGAATGAGACCACAATAAACAAGTGGTAGACATTCTCAAAGACCTATACCAGACTCAGATTGTACAAACCATGTTAAAATTCTGAAAAGAAAACCACTGTGTACGATTATTCCATGTTAAGTAAGGACACTGAAAATATCACATTTTAAAGAGAGATACTGAAAAGACTGGTTTATTGCATAAGCTCCAAATACTGCACAAGAAAAGATGGAGAAGTAATTTTAGAAGCAATTTTCAAGACCTAAATCTCTCTATCCAAAATCTATTATTTCAAGATAAGGTGATTTTGAAGACATGGTTCTTTCTTGTATTGCACAACACAATGACCTTCAGCAAGTGTATTTTTTCTTGTATTGCACAAACACAGGGCAAATTCTCAAGACTAAATAAAAAAAATAACAGTAATCTGGACAGATATTTAGTATACCATCATAGGAGAATAAACACCAATGAGTTTTCAGCAAAAACATGGGGCATGGTATAGCATTATTCACAGAAGTAATTTTAATCTTGTTTCTGGGATATGTTTTGACATGTATCTCCCCAATTTCATGTTTATAGAAGGGTTTCATAGCTCTGTGTGTATGGACATAACATTTATCTATCAGTTCATAGATGTGCTTTTGAAAAACACAGTGAAATATAAGTTTGCAATTTCAGCCTCCAATTTATCTCTGTAATTGGCCAACCTATTAAATTATCTTCTTTCAGGCTAATTATAAACATAATTCTTTAATTAACATGTTGATTATCATCTGGTGTACCAGGCACCATGACTCCCTATTTTTGTAGACTTTCCGTAAATTACCTCACTTTTCTTGCAATTGGTAGATATTTCAGCTGAAGGCTTTTCTCCAGCCTGAAAATGAACGGATGAACCAGCAAACTATACCTGAGCAATAAACTATTCCTGATAAAAGTTAGGTTGTACATTGGCAGAGGAGAAAGTAAGTACAAGCAAAACAGCAAATTTCAGTTCAACTGCTGTTTTCATTCAGTTTACACAGGTACTGTGAAGAGAAATCAAAGGTTAGCTTGCACATGAAGCAAAATCATGATACAAGTTTTAGGACTAGGTTTTGAAAAGCTTGGTGTTTAACTTACAAATGTGAGCCTCTGCCAGTTTACAAGGGGTAAAATATAATGGATGGAAAACGTAAAAGTTGCTCAGATAAAGTGAGATACACAAAGTATCTGCATTGCAGAAATCTTGTGGTTGTACAAAAAGAGCCCACTGAAGCCAAATCAGAACCAGGTTCTGAAGTCCTTTTTCCAGCATGAGTGGTGGGGTCTAGTGGCATGACCCCAGGTAACTCACCTGTCACTTCATCCTCAGTGATCTCATCTATTAGACAGAAATAATAATATAATAATAATTTGTAATATCCACTGTATACTTACTATTTCACTTTTTGTTGTTGTTTTTTTTTTTTTTTTTTGAGACGGAGTCTCGCTCTGTTGCCCAGGCTGCAGTGCAGTGGCACGATCTCAGCTCCCTGCAATCTCCCTCTCCGGGTACAAGCGATTCTGCTGCCTCAGCCTCCCGAGTATCTGGGATTACAGGCGTGTACCACCACGCCCGGCTCATTTTTGTATTTTTAGTAGAGATGGAGTTTCATAATGTTGGCCAGGCTGGTCTCGAACTCCTGACCTCAAAGGATCCACCCACCTTGGCCTCCCAAAGTGCTAGGATTACAGGCATGAGCCACTGTGCCCAACCATTATTTTATAATTTATAATAAATAAAGAATATGGATTAAGTGGAAAGAGATTTGCTTTTGCAATAGACACACCCAGGGTTTGCATCCCAGCTCTCTAGCTTTCCTTTTACTAGTCACTGGGATTGCAATGTTTTTCCTCTCTGAAATCTCCACCTTAGAGGATTGTCACAAGGGATTAATCAAAATATAATTTTAACAAAGTACCCAGGAAACAATTACCAGAATATAAAAGACTACGAATACTTGTTACTTCCTCATTTCTATTTTTGTAAAAATTAAATTCATTCATTCAACACATAAGACTGTGAATGAGACAGAACAATTTCTTACACCCATGGAGCTTACACTTGGGAGGAGATTGATAAACAAGTAAATGAATAGTTACAAAATGTAATGTCAGCTCGTGATAAAAGCCAGGAATTCTAACGACAGGGCTGAAGGATCAAGGTGGATATATTACAGGATGGTCGTAAATGACCTCTCTGATGAGGGGACACTAATCCAAGAACTGCATAAAGCTGGGAGTGAGCCTGTGGAATATTCCAGGCAGGAAAGAGCAGCCAACACAAAAGCTCTGCAGTAGGAAATGTCTCAGTCGGCTCCAGGAAGAACAAATGGGCTGGTGGGCTGAGTTGAGTAGGAGGAAATGAGTGCAGAGACCAGGCAGGGTAGACCCAGAGGGCCACGGAGGACTGAGAAGGGCTTTGGAGTTTGGTCCAAGTACCTTGGGAGCCACAGAGAGTTGCAAGCAGAGGAAGGACATGACTCATTCCCACTCTAAAAGAACCACTCAGGAAGCCATGCTAGGGGCATGAGAGGTTGTTACCGTAGCCAAGCAAAAGACGATGGTGGCTTCTATTAGGGTGTGACCTGTGGAAGTGCCGGGAAAAGGTCAGAATCCAGATATATTTTTTTTAAAAATGGAATTGACAGGATTTGCTGATGTGGGATAACGATAGGAAAAAGAATAATTAGAAGGGTTTAGGTCTGAACAACTGGATAAATGGTGGTACCATGTACCGAAATGGGGAATACTGTGGGAAAGGCAGTTAGTGATAGGGGAGGAGAATGTGAAGCCAACTTCAGATGAGTTAGGTTTGTGATGATGTTCTTCCAAGTGAGATATCAAGTTGGCAGTTGGATATGCAAATCTGGAATTCAAGAAAAATGTCATGGCTGAAGATAAATATTTAGGACTCATCCCTGTGAAGAACATATATAAAGACATGATACCAGCTGAGATCACTAAGGGAATGAATAGGTAACTAAAGACAGGACGATCTAAAAGTGAACCCTGGTGCACACCAACATTATGAGGTTGGAAAGAGGGGAGGAATTCAACAAAGGCTAATTATAAAGAATGACCTCTAAGGTAGAAAGAAAGTCAGGGGCCAACCGATCTAAACAGATTACAAAGAGAAAAAATAGTCAACCAGGTAGAATGCTACCTGGAAGTTGAGTGAGAAGGCAGTTTAGAATTGCCATTACATTTGGCAACGTGGTGTTCACTGGTGGTCTGGTCAAGGGCCATTTCAGTGGAGCTGTGGGGAAGAGATCCAGAATGGAGGGGACTTAAGAATGAATGAGAAGAGAAGCAGCAGAGCAGCAGGTACAGACAACTCTTGACTTGTTTTACAAAGGTGAGCAAAGAAATGGTATAGTAGCTGAAGACGATATGGAGTCAAAAAAGTAAATATCTGGGGCTGTCTGTGACATTTCAGGCACTATTTTGGGCACTATGGAAAGGAAAGATCGAAACAGACAAAACTCCTGTCTTTGTAGAAATAAAATAGGGAGAGACAATGTATCTATATGCATACACACACACACACACACACACACACACACACACATCTGTTGGGGAATTGGTATAAAGAAAATAAAGTAGGGTAGGACAGAGCAATAATGGGAGTTGATATTTTAAATGGGCTATACAGGGAAGATCCCTCTGCTAACATAATCTGAATTTGTGAGAGAGAAAATCATAGGCTAGCTAGGAGAAAGTTCCAACAACAGTGTTTTTGATACACTTGAGGGACGGTAAGAAGATATGATCACATGTTTACATGCTGATGGAAATAATCCTGAAAAGATCAAATAAGAAGTTAGTGATTTGGGCAAGAGATGGGATAGGTGTATCTCCACCTGGGATCAAAGCACAGGTGGAGGTGGTGGCTTCAGATAGGAGCAAAGGTAAAGTGGCTGGGAGTTTGGCGGGTGAAAGGATGTATAAGTTCTCTTCCAACTGCTTCTGTTTTCTCAGTGAAATCAGCTGAGAATGGGAAGGGAAGACGGGCTTTGAGGAATACGAGACAGGGAACTGCCTTAGTAAAGGGAGGACTGCCAGGACACACTTGAGATTAGACACGAGGACAAGACTTAAACATTGGACGATATCCCTTTAAATGAGAGACTATCTTTAAGCTCTAAAATACCAAGGAAATGCATGGTATTACCATAGAAAATGGAAGAAGAAGAATGGCTGAGAAGATAAAATGCACTACTAGCATGTGAACAAGTTGGACATGCTGAGTTGAGTATTCTAAAAATGTTGGCAACAAGGGCACTCAAAGCACTTAGAGACCACTTAGAGGGAACCAGCAGATAACTGATCATGATAGTGTCTGTGTTAACACAGGTCTAAGACAAAAAAGATCAGGATGCCAGGGCAGTGCGTGGAAGGCAAGAGCCACGCTGGGAGCAGTGTGCCCGTCTCCCCAGCTGTTAAATGTAACACAGTCCTGTAGAGCTATTCCCAATCTGCCATTCAGTTTACCTTCACACAGATTAGTCCATCCCATTACTACCTGAGGCATATTAAGAAAGACCGTTCTAAGTTGCCTAAAAAATGCATTTCTACAGGATCAAAGTGTAAACCACTCTGTAAATCGAAGAGTAGACTGATGAATTTCCTCACTGGGACCACGCTTCACAACCCTCATCACATTGCTTGCTTTTGACTCTCTCTTTCTTAGACTGTACTCTGCAAGAATGAGCCTCATGTCTTATTCTTGCTGCACCTGTGTGTATCATCATCCCTGGAATATAACAGATGTTCAGTGAGTGTTTGATGATTGAATGAGTGAGTAAAAAGATGCAAATTTAAAAATAAAACCAATAAAACTCTAGCCAAAGCACAAAAATAAAGGAAGCAACTAACAGAATTTCTTAGGGCTTGATATTTTGAGGCCAATGCTAGAGTGGAAAGAACTCTGAACTAGGAGTCAAAACACTTGAGTTAAAAATATCAAATCTCTCACTTTCTAGATGGTCAACCTTGGAATAATCCACTTCAATGAGATTCAATTATCTCATTTATTAAAAAATAAAAAATCTACACTTGCTCCTTAACTATATCAAATAATTACCATAAAGATCAAAGTAAGTAAAATATATGAAAGCCCTTTGTAAACTATGAAGTACCATAATATAGTTACTAATACTAATATCCATATCCAAGCTACTTGGAGTAGCACCAGAGGTCATGAACAAGGTCATATGCAGTTTCAGCAGCATCAGAAACCAATTTTGGTGAGATCTGATCACCCACGAGGACCTTGTACTGGGTCAGTATGACTCATGGAAGACAGACAGCACTGTTAAGCAAGACAAATCTTGAAGGAAAATGTAAAATGGCATTTACTATGAGTAATATAAAAACTACATTTGGGTTGGACAAAGAAATTACTAACCTTCTAAAGGTTCTCATCAAAATTTCATCTAGTAATGGAAACTAGTTATTTAAACTCAGCTGGTATCTGATATCCAAAGATGCTCAATCTAAAGATTAAAAAAATGTCTAAGAGTACATTTGTTCGGCCGGGCGCAATGGCTCACGCCTATAATCCCAGCACTTTGGGAGGCCGAGGCAGGTGAATCACCTGAGATTGGGAGTTCAAGACCAGCCTCACTGACATGGAGAAACCCCGTCTCTACTAAAACTACAAAAAACATTAGCCGGACGTGGTGGCGCATGCCTGTAATCCCAGCTACTCAGGAGGCTGAGGTTGGAGAATTGCTTGAACCTGGGAGGCAGAGGTTGTGGTGAGCTGAGATCACGCCATTGCACTCTAGCCTGGGAAACAAGAGCAAAACTCCATCTCAAAAAAAAAAAAAAAAAAATGTACATTCATTCAATGTCTAGTCATCTGTGTATGTCTTTCAAAAATCCAAACTAGATCTTTAAAAAACCTCTCAGTACTAAGGTAGTGTCACAACTCTATTTTCCTGTCTCTTCATCATAAAAATGGGTTCCTTCCTTCATTGTTTTACATGCCTCAATACAGCTTATACCCAGTTACATTAAAACATCCTCTTCTAAGAAGGAAACAGTGTGAAGTCTATATTATAAGCAAAAACTAAATTTCATATGAATAAAGAAAGAAGGAATTTCCAGCCTGGGAATCTCTGGGTGATGACTGATGAGGGGAAATAAAAAACAAGAAAATAACCCCAGAGTTCATGTTGAAGATACTTTTAGCAAAACATGACTTAGTCAAATAGCAACTAATGCACAACCCAAAGCAGTATTTCTCCTTTGAAACCAATGGATTTTTTTTTCAAATGATACATCATCATTTTTGGGGGGGGGGGGGGGGGCGGGGTTGCGGGGGGTGGAGTCTTGCTCTATTGTCAAGGCTGGAGTGCAGTGGTGTGATCTCGGCTCACTGCAACCTCTGCCTCCGTGGTTTAAGCAATTCTCCTGCCTCAGCCTCCTGAGTAGCTGGGATTACAGGAGTGCACCACCACACCCGGCTCATTTTTGTATTTTTAGTAGAGACAGGGTTTCACCATGTTACCCAGGCTGGGCTCAAACTTCTGACCTCGTGATCTGCCCACCTTGGCCTCCCAAAGTGCTGGGATTATAGGCATAAGCCACCGTGCCCGGCCAATGTATCATTTTTGTATCACTTCTACTCAGATTCTGCGAAAACCCTTAAGCCTCCTGTTTTGTAGTTGAGGTACCAGCATGGACAGAAACTCTGGATCTTTCCTCACCCTCTCCCTATTGTCAATTACAGTGTTACTTTTCAGTTTTAAGACTCACCTAAGATATCCTGGACTCTACTTTCTTCCAGCAGAGCCAGCAGCAGATCTCCCTCTTAAAACAATGATTTTTTTCTTTCCTTCATTGCCACAAGGTTCTATTCCACCTTCCTCCTGGTACCTCAATACTCCTGGAGTGGTCTTTGTTCTGCAAAATGTTTCTCTTTTGTGTGTTCTTCCCATGGTGTGCCCACTCCTGGATGAGCCACAATGGCTGGTGAGGGGCAGCCTATTAACCTGTCATCTGAGCCCCTTTTCTTAATCAATCTAAAAAGAGGAAATCTCTTGTAGCAGCTGAGCATAATGAAGCTTCCAACCCACCAGCACCTTTCAGGTCCATGACATCTGAGTGGGCTCAACTTTTACTGTTCCCTTCTTCGCCCTATAGTTACTGTAACTGCCTCTCTTATTAAAGATTAGCCCTGACAGGAATCTTTCCACAATGAATAGGTGAGAAAGGGAGAGTGGGCACTCTACGAAAGTCTGTGTAATTTAAAACTGGAGAGCAAAAGGAAATGACAAGAAAAGTGTAGCTGTAGCGAAAAGGCAGTTTTTAAAGAAACAATTATTTTTGCACGAGCTTAAATGCTTACTCTTCCAGTAAGCTATTTCACAGTGTCGAGAGCTTTTCCTTCTCCGTCCTTCTCAAGCAGTCTCATAGAAAAATTAGGAAAGAAAATCATTATAGGGTTTATAAGGCAGGAATCATTAAAAGATGTTTTCTTTCAAATTAAAATGAGAAGCAGATGACAGTAATATTTATACTAGTGCTACTACTAGACAAAATAAAAATTCAAAAAGTTATCTTTCAGTTAATAGCAATAGCCACTCGCAAAATAATATGTAGGACCACAAGAAATAAGGTGGTAACTGAGACGAAACTTTGTATGCATCTTCCACTAAAATTGACAATCAAATGTTTTAGGTTCTCTATTTCATGAGTGAATTTATATGCTAGTAGTTATTAAGTCATGTAATCCTATAGATGGAATCAAATCATCCAAAAATAAATCATCAGAAACAAATCTTATTTCTGAGCAAAATTCCAATCAAATATAATAAGAAAGCAAATGCTGCAAAAAATCAGGCCAAAAATATATGAAAGGAGAGGAAGATTCAATTACTTTTAAAATAAGTAAAAGTACCAAGGTTACTTGGGAATTCAAATGTTTCATAAACAAAATTGGCATCCAACAAAGTGAAGAATATACCTCTCTAAAAAAGAATAACACAAAGCCAGGTGCAGTTGTGCATGCCTGTAGTCCTAGCTACTCGGGAGGCTGAAGCAGGAGGATTGCTTGAGCCCAGGAGTTTGAGGCAACATAGCAAGACCCCATGAAAAGAAATGGGAAAGGGAAAGGAAGCACTGGCAACCCCCAGCTAATTCAATAATGCTGTTGGCAGAGACAGGACAAAACAACCGAGAAAAGAAAGAAAACAGTCCAGGCACGGTGGCTCACGCCTGTAATCTCAGCACTTTGGGAAGCCAAGGCTGGCAGATCACCTGAGGTCAGGAGTTCGAGACCAGCCTGGTAAACATGGGGAAATTCTGTCTCTACTAAAAATACAAAAATTAGCCGGGCTTGGTGGCATGCACCTGTAATCCCAGCTACTTGGGAGGCTGAGGCAGGAGAATCGCTGGAACCCAGGAGGTGGAAGTTACAGTGAGCCAAGATTGTGCCACCGCACTCCAGCTCGGGCGAAAGAGCAAGACTCTGTCTCAAAAAAATAAAAAGAAAAGGAAAGAAAACAGATCAGCCAGGTGTGGTGGCTCACGCCTGTAATCCCAGCACTTTGGGAGGCCAAGGCGGGCAGATCACAAGGTCAGGAGTTCGAGACCAGCCAGGTCAACATGGGGAAACCCCATTTCTACTAAAAATACAAAAATTAGTTGGGTGTAGTGGTGGGAACCTGTAATGCCAGCTACTTGGGAGGCTGAGACAGGAGAATCACTGCAACCTGGGAGGCAGAGGTTACAATGAGCCGAGATTGTGCCACCACACTCCAGCCTGGGCAACAGAACGAGACTCTGTCTCAAAAAAATAAAAAGAAAAAACAGATCAAAACAAGCAGGCATAAAGTGACTTCAGATTAAAGTTGCTTTTGCTTCTAGAATTAAAGAAAATGTTCAGCAATTGTTGATATAATACATTTCCTAAATCAAAATTAGTCTATAAATCCTCTGTAATCAACATGGCCCTTTCCCAACATTATCTTTGTTGAGTCTTTCCTTCCACCTTGATACACGGTTGACAACTTCTTAATTTATATTAACAGTCTAAATGTGGGGAGGATTTGTTTTTGACAGCTCTAACCTCCCTCTATTTATATGCTTTAATGGAAATGAGCATTTCCCTACGCGTTCTCACCCTGTATTCTTACTCTTCCTGGGCCCTGACAAACATAAACTTACAGCTGAATTTATTTCCACATTAACAGGAGCATGTTTCCCTTTAGAAGCCTACATAGAAATGGTCTCATGCCATTGCTCAATGTGGTAAGCCATGCCATGCCCAAGCTCCAAAGAGAGGCATTCAAACAGAACTACAAGGGCTTCCAAAGAGGCTGATCAGAGTACAAATACAAGCTATCTTAGCTATCTCTTTTTTTTTTTTTCCAAAGACAGAGCTTCCCTCTGTCACACAGGCTGGAGTCCAGTGACACTATCATAGTTCACTGCAGTCTCAAACTCCTGGGCTCAAGGGATCCTCCTGCCTCAGTCTCCCAAGCAGCTGAGACTACAGGCATGCACCACCACACCCAGCTAATTTTAGTATTTTTTTTTTATTTTTTAGAGACAGCGTCTCACTATATTGCTCAGGCTGGTCTGGAACTCTTGGCCTCAAGCCAAATTATCTTTAACAAGTGCTGATAAAGCATAAAAACAGTGAGTGATTAAACATTAGTTTTAAAATAAGACAATGAATCCTTGGACTTTAGGAAATAAACACACTTTAAGAGCTTTGCTATAAAGGGCTTTGACAATGGGAGCCTCCACTGGACTAGTAAAATTCAAGCGGTACGTTGTCTGGGGTAAATACCCGGGGCTCATTGTCTCGCGCCAAGAAAATTCAGGACACAGACATACAGGAGGAGTTTAGGAGAGGA